>NT_187542.1:0-119912 GCF_000001405.40 Homo sapiens
TTTTCATGATGCCTGTCACATTCTGAAATGGAATGCAGTTAATTTCTCTCCTTCCTCAGCTCGGTAAGTTTATTTTCTTAGAATCTATTCTCTGAGTTAGAACTAGCTCTGATTAAGTGCTATATTGGAAGCAGCTCAGTGTAGAGCCATGGCTAAAATAGTTGGAAATTATATCCATAGAAAATTCAAATCTGAGAATTAAAAGCAACAACAACTGTAAAGTACTATGGATCACTGAGAAAGTGTGTATTCATTTTTGTCTAATGATGAAATGATCCAGCTGCAGGAAGAGTCCACAGAGGACATGCCCGGGCAAAGGCCTTTCATTTTACAATTCACATGGAAAGAAATGTGATGAGACCCTGAAAGACAGCTCTGGTTTCATCTGGACCACAATTTAGTTAATGCTATATTACATTGCACTTTGTAGTGAAATGCAAAAATAAAAGGCACATTTTGTTGGGCTTTAAAAACAATTTTTACACGGACATTCATCGGAAGGTTTCAAAACTTTGATGATTTAAATGCTTTTCTTTTGAGCTATAATAGAAATCTGATAGTACAATTAACCCAGATTTGTGCTGGCTTGCTTCATCCCATCAAACAATCATAGGGATTATTTACATTTCGAGTGGGAACATAAATATCTTAAGAAATAGACAAAACAATATGCCCCTTTTTATTGTGAAGTCTAACTCACCTTCATAAAAGTCAACGTATTGAAATATCAATCAATCCAGCAATTGCTTTTTGTTATGTGCCGCAGTATGGATCCTCAGGGACTCCAGACCGTGTGAGCAACTAACAGGAAACAACACCAGATGTGCTGTATCAGCCATTGATTTTCATCCCTGATGAATTCAGGTAAAATTGCATCACTGAAATCACTCAAACTACTCTGAAGCCATTTTTAAAAGGCAGCTCTGTTCAGGTTTGTTGGTTTTAAGTATCAACTTATGTGCACATGCACAGAGGTCCAAAAGGTTAAGCATCTTACGGCTTCTAGGAACTTCATAACATCATCCAGCTTCTCAAGGAATGGTTTTCCTACACAAGAAGAAATCATAAAATGTAGTCATCTGTAAATATGAGAATTAATCTGTTAAGATTCATAAGTTTATTTTCTTTTGTTATAAAATCAAGGAAAAATGACATGCATCACGAATACTGTCAGCAAGAGATACATTTTAGGGTAGGGAATAAATGACTTTGAAAAAGTTATACTACTTTCCTTGGTTTGTAGTGATCGAGTGCAGGAAATGCTTCCCCAAAATATGGCACCTTGGGATCCTGAGTGTTTTAAGCTGAAGGATAATGAGAAACCCCAGATTCTAGGAAGGTCACTCTCTTACCTTCTCCTGCCTTTCTCCTCTGAGGCCATGAAGAGAGTTCTCTGACCTACGTCCCCTGGAAGAAGGCCGATAAGACCCTCACTCCAGATGGGTCCTGCCCTATCCTCAGAGGCCAAGAGGAATCTGAATAAATAGCCCTTGCTAAACCCCCCAGTTAATGACTGTTTGCTCATACCCACTATTTGTTCCGTCATCCTCCTACAGGCCGTCTATTCTCCATCAAACCTAAGCATAAAAATACAGTTTTCCCTGGGTCTCTGGGTCTTTACTTCTGAAGGTGTCCCTGTAACATACAACTTTGGTTAGATACGTTTTTTACGTGTTTCTGTTGTTGATCTGTGTTTTGTTACAGGGGTCTCAGTCATGAACCTTACAATGGGTAAGGAAAAGATACTACTTTTTCTTCCCTACAGTAAATTTTGAACCTTGGATTTAAACAAAAATTTATAAAATAATATGTTTGATTTGCTTTTGAGATTATATATATATATATATATATATATATATATATTTATAGGCAAATAAGACTGACTATTAGTATGAAATATTTATCTTGTCAGATTTTTATACACTTGCAAACACATTTGTAATTTTTTCTGTTAGTACTTTTAACGGAACAGAAAAACAATAGAATACTCAGGGACTTCCCACTTTTGTTGTGTATTTGTTTATGCTTTAACCTTATAATAATTTCAAATTACATTACTAGTTTCTCTTTATTTTTACAAAATCATCTTCTGGACAATTCTTTAATTTGAAGACCTTAAATTTTATGCTAGACAGCTTCCCCCAAGAAGTTCAGTTTTAATATATATTTCACAGTAGTCTGGACTAGGAAAAGAAGTTGCAGGCTATCATGCAATTTCCAGCTCCTTTTGCTACCTTTCCTTCCTTTTGTTACATTCTACTTTCTTTACACAGCCTCTGTAAGCACAGCAGGTCCTCATGGTCTAACTACCAGCTTCTACAAAGCATGTGACACCAATTTTCCAGCACCGAGGAAGCTATAACTTAGTGAACACTCATTCACCCACTGAGGAGCTTGCAGATGAAATGATATTGCACATGCTATGTCTTAGAGGGAGGCACAGAGCTGGACAGGAAGGACGATGCAGACAATCGCCTCTTCATATTGATTTGAGTCTTCACTAACATCAATCCCCATTCACAGATCCTAACTCAGAGCAGCGGGAAAAAAAATTGGAACTACCCAATGTCTACTCTAAAGTGCTCTCAGGAAAAATTCCTTCCTGATTTCACATTTTGGCAGACCATTAAATATAGGAACGCGATTCACCAGAGTCAAGCATATACTTCCTACTGCTGTGAGACTGGACTTCAGAATAAAGAAATAACTTTTTTTTTTTTTTTTCTGAGATGGAGTCTCACTCTGTCCCCCAGACTAGAGTGCAGTGGCATGATCTCGGCTCACTGCAACCTCTGCCTTTCAGGTTCAAGCAATTCTCCTGTCTCAGCCTCCCAAGTAGCTGGGACTATAGACACCTGCACCACGCCTGACTACTTTTTGTATTTTTAGTAGAGACGGGGTTTCACCATGTTGGCCAGGCAGGTCTCGAACTCCTGACCTCAGGTGATCTGCCTGCCTCGGCCTCCCAAAGTGCTGGGATTACAGGCGTGAGCCACTGCGCCTGGCTGAGAAAGAACTTTTAAGAATCAGTTACTTCATATTTTACCCTATATTGTACTTCTAGACTTGATAATGTCATGTAATAAACTCCAACAATTCTTCATTTAACTTTGTCTTCCAGGTACACCCAAAGGAATAATTCCTTTGGAGGTGAGATTTTCACCTTATGACTGTGGAATTTTAAAGTTCTCTGTAAAAACATCCTATAGGTTGTGCAGTTTTGTATATTTTTTAGGATTAATTATTTCCAATCAAAGTATATGTAGAAAGTGTACAAAAATGTAGCCAACTTACTAATATTCTATCTTGAAGAACACTCTTATGAAGGTTATGTATTTGGTTCGTACTAGGATTAGAGCTTATGTTTGTATGTTGCCAGAGAGAGGGTGCTATGAGTTTTTACACTATGGAGTTGGAAGTATAGTAATTTCATTGTATTTACCAAAGCAAAAGAAGATGATGACAATGATAAAGAGGAAGATGAAGAAGGGTGGAAATAAATCAAATCTGCTAATACCTTTACTTCAGTGTGAGGATGTTTTCAACAAAATTCTACTTTCCAGATAATTATCTGAATTATCCACTTTAAATTGTAAGTAAATTTAATAAGTTGAGTTCAAATTAATGTTTTTTAAATCAGCCACTAGGATAAACCTTTTTACTTTAATATATGATTTATGCCCAGTTTATTCCATGTAAAAATTTAAGTTTCTAGGCCAAAAAATGAAACTTATAACTGCTTCCCATATAATCACTCTCAAAAGTGATTTCTGCTATTTATCAATTGAACGTGTTTCTTTCCAGTTTGTATTTAAATCTTGTGCTTATGACATGCAATGACAAATCCAATTAGCTGATTTTTCTATAGGTGAAGAAAACCCTGGTTACTTCCAACTATGTGGATGATATGTTAGTGCAATTTGTCTCAACAAAAATGGCAAAAAAGAAAACAGCCTTCTGAGTAGAGTAGAATACTTTTATTTGGTAGTTGCTGACCTGCCTTTATAGTTTACATCACCTTTTACTTAGGTTTGTGACTTGACAGATAGTGAACCTGAGAGAGAGAGAGGGAGCAGGCAACAAGGCAGCAGATTCCACCTTTTATCTCAGGCCACAAATGTGTCATTCCGCTTTTTAAAAATGCCTGTTTCATTTTGGTGAAACTTCTGATAAAAGCCAAAGAAGTACAATGCCAGTGTTGGAAACAATTCCAATTTTTATTCAAATTATTGATTGCAAGAGCGTAATTTTTATTGACAGAAAGGAATATAGGTAGTTAGAATAAATTTTAAATTTTGGTATGAAGTTTTCGATGGGATTTAGAATGCAGTTTTTGTCTCTGCAAAAAGACTTTGGGCTGAATTACACATACTATTTTTAGATCCTCGTTTGAACAGAAAAGATTGTTACTTGGCTGACTCATTATTGAAAAAAGTTTGTGCATGTTTGTGTGTGTGCATGTTTGTGTGTGTGTGCATGTTTGTGTGCATGTTTGTGTGCGTTTGTGTGTGCGTGTTTGTGTGTGCATGTTTGTGTATGTGCATGTGTATGTTTGCATGTTTGTGTGTCTGCATGTGTGTGTGCATGTTTGTGCATGTTTGTGTGTGTGCATGTTTGTGTGTATGTGCATGTGTGTGTGCATGTTTGTGTGTGCATGTGTGTGCATGTTTGTGTGTGTGCATGTTTGTGTGTGTGCATGTTTGTGTGTGTGCATGTTTGTGTGTCTGTGCGTGTGTGTGTGTGCATGTTTGTGTGTGTGTGTACTTTTGGACACTGGCACATCTCTCTCTCTTTACAAGCTTCTAGGCCTTAGAACAGGAAAATTCACTTTCTCTATTCTATGATTGATTTGGTACCTACCAGTAGAAAAGTGGAATATGATCCTGATTGTTTATCCAGATGCAGTTGACGATTGAACAACACAGATGTGAACTGTGTGGGTGCACTCATAGGCAGACATTTTCAATAAATATATTGGAAAGTTTTTTGGAGATTTGTGACAATTTGAAAAAAACTTGCAGATGAATCATGTAGCCTAGGAATACTGAAAAAATTAAGAAAAAGTTACATCATTAATGCATAAAATATATGTACATACTAATCTATTTATGTGTTAATCAATTACATTATTGGTAAGGCTTCCAGTCAATAGTAGGTTATTAGTAAGTAACTTTTTTGGGAGTCCAAAGTGATAGGCTGATTTCTGACTGCATGGGGGTTGGGGCGCCAGCGCCTGCTTTGTTCAAGGGTCAACTGGAAATATATATATATTTTGTATCTGTACTACATACATATTATATATGCAAAACATATAATTACATAATATATAATATGTCATATATAATATACAACATATGTATTATATATAAACAATATGTGTAGTGAGAAGAGACTGAATTGTGCTTGAGACGGAAGCAAAACTTTGAAGCAGCAGCAAAGGTTTGATGGAAAACTAAAGGGAGATATGATTCATGAGTTCATGAATATTATATATATTATATAAATTTTATAATATATAATATGTATTATAATAGATAATATATAACATATTGTATTAATATCATTTATCAATTATTTTTATATTAATTTTTCATTAATATACTATACAATTATATAAATATGTCAATATATAATACATATTAATAAATATATGTATACACATATGTATATAAAATACATATATAAATTACATTAATGTAATTAGTATAAATATATGTTATATTATAATGTATATATATTTAATTATATATATTATATTATATATTTATACTTAAATAAAATTATATGTATTATATTATATATTTATATTATGTTTATGTATATTATATACATAATATATACATACATTTTATATACATAATACACACATATATAATATATAATAGCATACACATACATATATGCAATATATGTAATATGTGTATGTATATATAATATATACATACACATATATTACATATATGTATTTACTATATAATATAAATATATATCTTTGTATATATGTATATATATTACATATAAGTTATATATATATTTTTTGAAAGGAAATACTATGTACTGTAGAAGATGGAATTTTTTTTTTTTGAGATGGAGTCTGTCTCTGTTGCCTAGGCTGGAGTGCAATGACGCTATCTCAGCTCACTGCAACCTCCACCTCCTAGGTTCAAGCGATTTTCCTGTCTCAGCCTCCCAAGTAGCTGGGATTACAGGCATCCACCACCATGCCCAGATAATTTTTTGTATTTTAAGTAGAGATGAGGTTTCACCATGTTTGCCAGACTGGTTTCGAACTCCTGACCTCAAGTGATCCGCCTGCCTCAGCCTCCCAAAGTGCTGGGATTACAGGCGTGAACCACTGCACCTGGCCAGAAGATGGAATTTTTAGGTATAAATGAAATCCATTGCTCAAGACCCAAAAGGGAATACAGCCAGCAGAATCCCATGCATTTTTTCAATAACAATGGATTTAACTGTCTTCATTAGTCTAAGTACACACCCACTCATGCATTTGTGAATTATATTTATTTCAGAATGCAAAATAGGTGTCTGTTCTTTCTCAATGCTATGACAAGTCACCGCACTAAGGTTTTAATTTTGGGGGAAGATCACATGTGGCATCATAAAGCCAGTTTTGAAGCTTAATTCTTTCCATATTAAGTAGTTGAACGAAGAGTTTCATTTAATAGTATTTTAGTACCTTAAAGTCAAATGATTTCAGTCATTGAACTCAGCATGTTGAACTGCCCTTTCAATTCTCTACAGGAAGTTATTTACCTATTTATTGAATAACAAGTAGAGTTTAGAGAAGGGTATGAGAAATTAAGTAACATTAACAAAACAGAACAAGCCCCCAAAATTCTTCTGTTAAAACATTATTATTTAGTGATAAAATAAAAATTGAAAATGAACAATAAAATCTAAACACAATATGAAAACTTCCCCCTTTATCATATATGTTAATAAAAGTATTGCAATTTTAATTTTATTCCAAATTTACTTTTCACGTTCTTTTCTTTGCGGATAATCTTGAATGATTATTATTGCTGTTATTATTTTGGGGTGGGAATCAGGTTCTCTCTGGTGGGGCAGGACATCACTTCCCTTTGATTCCACCTGGAGGGCATGCCATAGTCTGGGCCCAGCTGAGGTATGGGCCCTGGGTGCTAATGTGGATAGATGATATCTATACTTAATTGTTTTATAGTCAGTGAGAAGAGGCTGAATCATGCTTGAGAAGGAAACAAAAGTTTGAAGCAGCAGCAAGATTTGATGGAAAACTAAAGGGAGATATGATTCAGGAGGTCAGAGAGGAGGGTGATTTGAAAAGGACTGAAGGAAGAATAGAATCCATCAAAGGGTGGTTCAGAACTCAAGCCAGGGATCTGTGGCAGGCCTCAGTGATGTGGAGGAGAGCCTGGGTGCTGTAAACAGAGGCTCGGGACTCAGCCACCTGCAGGTTTGAAGGAGTTCTGCCCCCAGATAGTTTCCTGCCAGGGTGACCAACTGCCCTAAAATGACAGAATGTAATAGCAATTTAAGATCCCATTGCACATCAAACACAGACCCCAGTTTATTAAACAAGGGAATGCAATTTAAATTTGTGAAGACCAGTCATATTATTATTCCCGTTTTTCAGAGTTAATTATAATTGTGCCATTATTATTAGTGTGATTAATATAAATAAAAATAACATTTTAAATAAACACAATAACATATAAATATATACCAAATGTAAATATAATATTTTTTTTCCTTCCAGTTACAGTATGTTAAATAAATATCCTAAGAGTAACAAAAACATTTTCTGGGCACTACCATGATGGGATACATGGGGTGCGCAGTATTGATGTTGGGTAGAAAGCTTGGAATTTCCTTCTGCAACAAATGGAAGTGGCTTTGAGCCTTTCAAATAGAGAAAAAATAAAGCATAAGAGGGAAGGCCTAGAACATTCTAGCTAGGAATAACTGAGTGAAGGGTTGGAGGTAGGAGCATACTCTTACAAGTCTCTACTCCAAGGGAGGAAGAGGAGGACGAGGAAGGACTAACCAGCAAGGATGCCTGGTTTGGTTGACTCCCATCCAGCTTCTCAACTGCAGTCACTTAGTGTCTCCTCACCCGGACCTCGGATGTTTAGCCCAACCCAGGTCCTGGCACTGTTCTAGTTTCCAGAATTCAGGGAATTTATTAGCATTTGACCAAAATAAATCGGTTGTGAGCCTGCTTTACTGATGGCTCCAATATTAAATATTTCTTACTCTGTGTCAGGGAGTTTCTGTCTTGTGACTACTATGGTGACTGGGTCTGTGTTTTTCCAGGTCTCTGGCCCATTGCTCCCTGTCTGACTGAGCCCTCCTATGCTTTCTGGGGATTTGGGCTGAGCCTCAGTTTCTCTTCTGCATGGGTGTTAGATGATTTTTTTTTTGTTTTTCTTTTTTCTTTTTTTTTTGAGACAGAGTCTCTCCCTGTCACCCAGGCTGGAGTGCAGTGGCGTGATCTCGGCTCACGGCAACCTCCGCCTCCCGGGTTCAAGCAATTCTCCTGCCTCAGCCTCCCGAGTAGCTGGGACTACAGGCGCCTGCCACCACGCCTGGCTAACTTTTGTATTTTTAGTAGAGACGGGGTTTCACCATATTGGTCAGGCTGATCTCGAACTCCTGACCTTGTGATCCGCCCACCTTGGCCTCCCAAAGTGCTGGGATTACAGGTGTGAGCCACTGTGCCTGGCCTAGATGACTATTTTATAGGCGGAGATGATAACCACAGAATGTTGGCTGAATATTGAGGGCACTTTGATCCAGATACAAGAAAGAAGCTTGTGGAACTTACTGAGTCATCTCCTGCTAGAATAGTTCAGAAGTTTCAGCAATCCCATATATTATACAGTGTATAACAAAGACAAGGCTTAAAATAAAGGATTCACGTTAGAATTCTTCTTAACCAAAAACAACTCCACACAATTGCAACAATTATAGCTGGAAAAATAACTCCCAATGTTCACTATCCTAACACATCAAATTTCTTCATTTCTCTATTCTCTTTTTTTAGTTTATACCCATACAAATATATCATTTTCACTTAGCTATAACCAAAGCAGAGATTCAAATTAGTATACCAGATCTACTCTAAAGAGAAAATACAGCCGGGCGCGGTGGCTCACGCCTGTCATCCCAGCACTTTGGGAGGCCGAGGCGGGCGGATCACGAGGTCAGGAGATCGAGACCCTTCTGGCTAACACGGTGAAACCCCGTCTCTACTAAAAATACAAAAAAATTAGCCGGGCGCGGTGGCGGGGCCTGTAGTCCCAGCACTTTGGGAGGCCGAGGCGGGCGGATCACGAGGTCAGGAGATCGAGACCATCCCGGCTAAAATGGTGAAACCCCGTCTCTACTAAAAATACAAAAAATTAGCCGGGCGTGGTGGCGGGGCCTGTAGTCCCAGCTACTCGGGAGGCTGAGGCAGGAGAATGGTGGGAACCCGGGAGGCGGAGCTTGCAGTGAGCTGAGATCGCGCCCCTGCACTCCAGCCTGGGCGACAGAGCGAGACTCCGTCTCAAAACAAAAAAAAATTACAATTTTTTAAAGTGAACTGAACTTCCTCTGTGAGAAAAAGATTATCTCACCACCGCTGGAAGATCCTTGAAGAGGGTGAGACACTTTGCTGTATGAATTGCGAACATATTCTCAATGTTGCCTGCTGCTTTGATCCCAGACGTGACCCAGACCCATGTTAAAACCAACTCCTTACAGGTTTATTCATCACCCCACTTTCCTTCCAGTTACGGCTTTGCGAGTCTAGGAAACAGGCTCTCAGTAAAGGAAACACAGCGGCCATCAACGCAGTCTAGCTGTGCGGAAGGAGCGCTCAGCCCCGGCGAGAGGTGTGGCTGCTGCCGCCCCTTTTCGGGGGACTCCTCCATGACGTTGCGTTATTTGAATTTGATGTTCAGATAACACAAGTTTTAAAGATACATGTAAAAATTGTTCTACAATATGGAAGAAACGTGATTTTGGTGGTAGAAGATGACAGCCTGGGGGATATGCGGTGGGACTAGTTGGAGGCAAAGCTGCACATTTGGCAAAACTTGTCTTAGAATCACCTTGCCCCTTCTTCTCCTTCTCATCCTCACAGACACTCTGTATTCCCCAACTAGACCGAGAGCTCTTGATGAGTTAATTAACGCCGAGGTTTTAGTGGCTCCATTCCCAGCCCTTCGGGAAGGGTATAAATTTCAGAAGGAAAACCTCAGGGTACAATATTTAACCCACGTCAGTGGTTCTCTAAGAGCGGAATTTCAAGTGCCGCATTCCTGGAAGGGGAGGAATTTGCTGGATTAAAGGCTTCCTGGCCTGCAATTGTGTTATATGAGAGCATACCTACTCAATACGTATAAAGACACCTTGAAAAAATATTCAAGATGTACGAAAAGGAAATTGGGGAGATAACTGCAAGACTTAGAGAAGAATGAGGGACAGGAAATTGCATATCAGCTTTATTGAAAGAAAGGGTATTTGTTGTGTCCGCTGTGGGAATGCTCTATGCCTATCGCCTCTTCTCAAGCACGACACAGTAAATTCAGTGATAATCAAGATCCATCAAGGCAAATATTTCCCTCCAGGGATTTAGTAAGCAATTAAGCAAAATCACTGCTTTGAGCACTTATGTAATATTAGCGATTTCTTGGTCCTCTTGACATTATATTCGTCTTTAGCAATTGGTTCAGCAGGTCTCCTAAATCTCTTCTCTCATGGAGCATTCAAAATTCTGTCCTAGTAGCTAACGCTAAAATTAGGTGACATCATTGGCAATACTCCCTGGACCCCCAGACTCTGCTGAGGTATAGAAACATGGCCAGGTTGGTCCTTAGTCTGGGGTCTTTGGGTCATGGGATATGTTTAGGGATAGTGTGATTTTTGACACAGAAAGAAAGAAAAATCTGCAGTTGATTTTTCAATCGCAAGGTAGCTGCTAAAATAGTGCATGTCTACCTGAATAAAATTTAAAGATATACTGAAAGAAAAATAATAAAATAGTAATATT
Source organism: Homo sapiens (assembly GCF_000001405.40). Lineage (NCBI taxonomy): Eukaryota > Metazoa > Chordata > Mammalia > Primates > Hominidae > Homo > Homo sapiens. The sequence continues at coordinate 11,039 of NT_187542.1, forward strand.
TAGTTAATTTTATATATTCATTTCCCAATCTACTTTCATTGGAATTACATATAAACATAAATAAATTCCTTAAGCCAATATTCGAAGGTTCTATTCATTTTCTTTTCTAAGAAATGTATTGACATAAATAAAACTGTGCTATTTAGAAAAAGTACTTATGGATTCAATTGATTTGGCTCTATTCTTCCCACCAGTTTTTTTTTTAAGAAGGCAGCTCATTTATGTGGTGATGTAGCAGTTCGTGTCACAAGCAAATTAAAATAAAAAATGTCCACTTCTAGAAATTTTTCTTTTATGGTCTGAGTCAGCCATAACCACAGAGGATCCATCTTGTGCAATACTGTTTTAAAAATTCATTCAATTATATTTGGCCAAATACAAAATATTAACTTGAGTTACATTGAGTATTTAATAGTTAGCAAAACTTATATCCATTGATATCGAATGCTCTCTGCCAAACATGTATGGTCTTGTTTTCATTTGCCCTCCAAGGTTAAATGCTTTGTTCTAATAAAGTGTTCAAACACAGAATAAATCAGGTATTAGCTGTCAGTTAAATTAGTGGCAAAATTGACAAGCAGTAATTCTTGACCAGAGTTTGTATTTGTTCATCACTGGTTCAAATGTTTTTTATTTCTTTCTATATTCTGCACTTATATTCTTGCCCAAAGACATTTTCCTCTCTTGGAAAATCATAATTAGTTTATTTATTTTCAAAGGTTAGAAACCCACAGAATCATGATTAATGATGTGGAAATTAAATACATACAGGTACTGTTGCCTTTTGCAAGACACTTCATGGTTAATGAGTGCTGGTTTGTATTCTCTTCATTCAGACAGTAAAGTCAGCTTTAAATGCGTCAGTGTGGCGAGTTGATGACAATTGCTGAGCTGAGTGAGAGGCATGGTTTGGAAATTCTCTTTGTTCTTTGCGGCTCTGTCCTGTGACACTGCCATTATCCTTTCGAGTGGAGGCTGGGATAATGGGCCTTAGAGAGGGTGACCTGGTATAGCTTGACCTGCACAAATGTGTTTGTCTTTATTCACTTGGGCCCTTTGACATGCTCTTCTAGATATTATGATGTTGGTGTTATATTGGAATGGAAGGATTTGATTACTCAGGGATCAATAGCTACTCTGGACATTTTTTGAAACACGTTGAGCATGACAAACTTGCCATTTTTGCCTTCCTCCATTTTTAGACACATGACTCTATTAAGGGAAATTTAATCCGTATGTTTCTGATTCCCTTACACTTAACTCATCAAAATGTTGTTTTGTAAGAACACTTTGAAGTCAGGGAAGCCTTTTAAGTCATTTTTTATGAGACTTTTTCAAGCCTCTTTTCTTAGGAACAGGAAGTGGCATTTAGCCAACAGTTAACAAACTCAAACACCAAAAGGTTGAAGTTGGGTTTGAATCTCTGAACCCATAAGTGTTTGAATGGACTCTTGACATGAGCCATCCTACTGTGTATTAGTGCCAACGGCCATCAGAACCGTCTTGATTGCTGAGATGACTCCAGGACCCCAACCAACCGCCAACTTGTGTTTCCCTAATCAGTCTACTTCATGCTGAATTATGACTCATTTAACTTTAAAGGAACTACTTTATTACCCATTCTGCTGAGCATTTTTGTGACTTCTGTGAGAGCTATTGAATTTGGCACTGTCCCACAGCTAGCTAGATATAACTTTTGAATCCAGTCACCAGTAAAATCACACAAGAGTTCAAGTTCACAGGACAAGTGAGTGTTGATTGACCATGAAGGCTTCTACCCACAAATACACAGAAATTATTTCAGCGACTCAGTTTCCTAGTGGAGAAGATAACATGGACGTTTTAGAAAATAAAATGCATGTTAAAATAACAAATGAGGCATCTGGCTTCAGAAGTTTTCGTTTGATTTATACTCAACAGTTGTTGTAAGTAAAAACTAAGCTCCATTTCCCAGGAAATTTATAGCTTAGACAAGCACCAGCGTTGTCACGGTGGTTCCCACTGCAGAATGCACTGGAAGTGATTTCTTCCTGTAGGTTTTCAGAGGATCCTACTAAGTCCTAATTCTGCACCTTGCAAATTATGCAACAATAAATGCCAAATAGCAACAGCTGATCTAGGTTAAAAGATTTAAAGAAGTTTCAAAGGTAGCCTAGGAGAAACAGTGAGAAATAATTCTAGAAACAAGAGAGTTCCGATAATAAACACTCAAGTGAAGAGAGCTCAGGCAGGCAGAATGCTACTCCTCTCCTTTAGGGCACTGCAAGTCAGCGCTCTGTAGACAGCATTTATTATCTAGGTGAAAAAGCCTGGGGACGTGGTACAGGCCACCCCTCTACAGATATATCAGGATTGCATAGTGGCTGCATGCCCAGGGGCTCTGGAGTCAGACTGCCTGGTGGTTTAGAGCCAGACTGTATCACTGGATCTGTGCTCTTGGATAAACGAGACAAATTATAGGACCTGTTTAATTGGGCTGTTGTGAGGATTAAAGAGGATGCTACATGTGAAAGTCCTGGTAGAGTCTTGATAAATATTAGCGTGATGAGGATGTGGTTGGCTAGGACTAGGGAATAGTATAACAAGGGCGCAATCGCTCCGGTGTAAGTTAAACACTGGGAATTATGAGCATCTCATGTTCTTTCATCTTCCTAGAAATCCGCAGCTATGTCCAAGGCTTTAAGTGACAGTTGTTTCTTGATGACTCTCAAATCAATGTCCTTCCTCTAGATCTCTCTCTGAGCAAGGCCTACAAGGCCACTACCAGCCTAACCTTCAGCTCTTCTCACTGAACTACTGGCCCTTTCTGCAGCTGGAATGTTCGTTTCATGCTCCGTAACTTTGCATGTGCTGTTCCCGCCGTCATTAGTACCCCTACTTCTTGTCCATCTGGCACATTGCTGCTCATCCTTCCGTGCTCAAGCACCATGTCCTCTGCAAAAGCCTCTGACTTCCTTTTGCTGATTTAAGCGTTCCTCTCTTTACGCGTTTATGGCACTCTCTCGCATTTCCTTATAGCTCTCATGAAGTGACACTGGAAATCGTGTGTGTGCCTGTCTCCACACTCCCCTGTGAGCACTGTCAGGGCAGGGGCTGTGTCTTGCATCTTTGGGTGCCAGTCCTAACACAGCATTTTGCATAGGGAGGACACTCAATGCAATTTTGGTGAAGGAATAAAGTGTGTCTAGAGAAACAGCAGGAAGGTTAGGTGGGCTGAAAATGATTTTGGTTTTATCAGCACCACTTTTACTATAGTAGACTCGACGCCGTGTCTCATTTCTTCTTGTGCTCACATCTAGCAAATTTGAGTGTCCTGGAAATAGTTTTCAGGGTGAGTTTTATCTTTCTCTATGAAAGATGTGCAACAATGCTCTATGAAGGAAAGGCGCACATTGAGTTTCTGATATGATCTATAGAGTGTCATCACCCAGATTCCAAGCAGCCCCATCAGGACAGAGCCTCTTCTTGTTAGATCAGTGCCTGCCATGGAGGAGACACACAGTATTTGATGAATGGTTGCATGAAAGCCAAGAATAAACAGTACCTGGATAATGAAAATGAAAGCACCACTGCTCCACCCACATCTTGAGGTATTTGCTTTAGTTCCCTAGAGGGATTTTTCAGTCCTTAGAGTGACTCAATTGTGTTTAACATCAGTCCTATCGAATACCAACATCAAGACTATTTTTTTCTTCTCATTGCTAATGATATTGCTACATTGTCTTCACCATTGTGAAACTTGCTGAGAAACTTGTATATAACCTTCAAAACCCAAGTATGTGTGCCCTGCGAAGACTGCATGTCACTAGCTATGAGTGACTGATGTGCGTGACAAGGGGTGCCGAAAGCCGAGCGATGCCCTGCTGTGAAGAACCGTGGGCTCTGGCTGGTTACAGAGCTGCCGTGTGAACTTCAAACCCATCTGAAGCCATCACAACCTTTATTCTTTTACCCAGAACTGGTGAAACCATTGTAATCTTTATTCTTTTACCTAGCCCTGGAAGGTCTAGAAGTCAGTCACTTGCTGAGAGATGTTGAGATGCTGTTCCTCCATGGATCTTCTGCACCAGAAATACGACTTAAGACCTCTCTGCCACACTCTGCAATCATTCCTCCTTCCTCATGCCTGGCTAAGGTGGTCCTCAGGGGTCATTTTCAAACTGTTGGTCACAACCTCTTCATTGGTCTGAAATTAATCTAGTAGGTTGCAAACAGCACTCAAAAAGGAGATAGACTAGAACAGACCAGTATATTTTACATAGTAAGGCTAAGTGTTATTTCATGAAAGTTTTTTTTTGGTTTTCAAAACACACCTCTCTCTCTGTGGTGTGGTGTGTGTACTGGGTACTGATAGAAAATTTATTTCTTACTCTGGGTTGCAGTAAAAGCAGTTTGAAAGCTCCTACCTTGGAAACTCTGAAGCAGCCTGGGGTTTGGATGTGGATCAGGGAGTCACAACCATGCTGTAAAGCCAAACAGCTAACCTGTGACACTGCTGGGCACAGACTGAGGTATGTCTCGTGGCTGTTACCGATGCCAACTCTCAGGATTCATACAAATGGAAGACAAGAATATCTTAGGTAATCTACAAATCCCCAGGTCTGATTTAACTCACCTTTCTCCCTTACTTTGAGAAACATCTGTTGCATATCTAGCATGCGCCGGGCAGTTCTAGATGCTGGGAAGATAGTGTGAAAGTCAATCCTTGCCCTCCCTCATGGAACAGAAGATGCTTCCTACAAAAAGTCTTACAATTCTGAGTAACTAAGTTAACTGGTTTATTTTATTGCCTCCTTTTCCCCAGCCTGTCAGTCTTTTCTGATAAAAAGGCTAATAAACAGAAACCAGTTAAATAGCAACCAGAGGAAAAGAACAGGAAAAAAAATCGAGTCTGAATAACACATAATTAGCCCCTTGATATTTGAGGCAATAGGGGAAATAATAATGTCATATACATGATTAACTTCTAAAGTTGGCTAAAAAAAATAAAGGAAAAAACAAAAAACCCTCAGTTCTATCTATGAGCCCAGCATGTCCAGAGTATTGTCGGAGTGGCTGTTGTCTTTGGGTATCCTGAATTTTCTTCCTAGAAAGGAAGAAGAAGGCCCCCATTTAGTTTTGTTGCAGGTTTCAAATTCTTCTCTGGGAGAAAAGCTAATGCAGCAAGTTATTTTTTCCCTGGCTATTTATTTTTCCATTTCCAGTCGCTCTATGCTAGATTGTAACATTCAGGGATTGGGGAGTACAATCGCTTCAGAATAATCAGTCATAAACATTCCAGGTTTAGTTAACTATTAAGGAAAGCAGCGTCTTTACTTTTTAAAGAGGAAAAAGAAAGAACGTATGCCACGGCCTGTAAAAGACTTTCCCATGTTTTGTTTACATTGGAATTTCAAAAGCTGACAATATCTTTCCTTCCTTCCTGCTCCTTGATGTAGTGAAAGGTCTTCCCTGTAAGTCTGATCATTTTAGTTGAAAGTGTTTAGACTATCTCGTGTACTCAAGTACTCATCACGATAGAATTCCACCGTGTAAGGGCTTGGTGGCTTCTAAGCTCATATTTTCTTTCTTTCTTTTCTCTCAACAAACTCAACTATCATGTCATTTAACTTTAGGCTCCATCCCACATTCCTGCAGGAAATCTTCTTTTAAACAGAATTATATACTGCAGGAATGGAGCTGCTCAATTTTCACTGGGTTGCATTTTTTATGGTTGTTCCTTTACTTCCTGGTAGCATATTTCTGATGACACATCCGTAGCAACAGTAGTTTTATTTATAAGCAAAGGGAAGAAGAAACATGGACTTTGGCTAACCTGGGTGTACAAAGAACACCCAGAATGTAATTGTAATTATGTCCACTTGTGGTGATATGGTCCAAGGTTTATCAGGATTTCCAAAGGAATCTGTGGGAGGAAATCTACCAGTGATCACAGCCATAATGAAACAAACTGATGTGGAAATTTCTATTCTTTAAAACCTATTTTAAATTTAGTGTTTACAAATAGGTATAAGTTAGCAAGAGTGCTGAACTCAGGGGACGATCTAAATCCACTCAATAATTAGTTCAACAAACTTAGGCTAGGCACAGTGGCTCACGCCTGTAGTCCCAGCACTTTGGGAGGCCGAGGAGGGTGGATCACCTGAGGTCAGGAGCTCGAGACCAGCCTGACCAACATGGAGAAACCCTGTCTCTACTAAAAATATAAAATTATCCGGGCATGGTGGTGCACACCTGTAGTCCAAGCTACTCAGGAGGCTGAGGCAGGAAAATCACTTGAACTCAGGAGGTGGAGGTTGGGGTGAGCCGAGATCATGCCATTGCACTCCAGCCTGGGCAACAAGAGTGAAACTCCATCTCAGAATAATAATAAAAAATAAATAAATAAATGAATAAATAAATACAGTCATGGGACCCAACATTACAGACTTTAGTCATTGACGTTACAGAATTGAGCCACTCATAGACAGGGACATCACAGAGTTTAGAAGAAACAGAGAAGTGGGAGGGGACAGAGTCAGCAGATGTGCCTCAAGCAGAGGGTTCGGGGGAGTGTCGGATGAGAAAGAAGAGCTGGAAAAAAATGTTAAGAAGGAGTAGCTGGAGATGTTACAAGAAAATAAGGGGTGCTTATCATCATAGAAGCCAATAAGATAATTTGAAAAATATAGCGGTTACAAGAGTCAAATGCTAAACGGTTCCGAATGCGTGAGGGTTGGGATCAGGACTGGCGATTAGCAAGTTTTATGTGGCTTTTAAGCCATTACTTTCTGTAGAAAGAGAAGAGCACAGCCAGAGGATAGAATTGAATGGGAAGTAAAGATGAAGTAAAATGAGCGTAGAGTGTATTTTTTCTCGACAATTATTGGTGTATGGAAGCATGTAGATAAATAGTTCCCTGAAAATATCGTTTACAGGGGTGCTTTTATTTCTTTGGATGAGGAAACTACAGTACATTATAGGACAAGTGAAAGGAGCAAGTAGAGAAACAGGGTAATGATGACTTTAGGGAAAGATAAAGAGGGGTCTCAACAGTTCAGAAGGAGCAAGTCTCGGAAAAGAAGAGGGACAGTTGTGTCTGTTTCACTTATGCATTGTCATATGACAAATATCCTCAGAAACTTGGAGGCATGGCCGGACGCTGTGGTTCATAGTTTATAGGTGCACAGTGACTATAATCCCAGCACTTTGGGAGGCCAAGGCAGGGGGATTGCTTGAGCCCACGAGTTTGAGACCAGTGTGGGTAACATGGCGAAACACTGTCTCTACAAAAAAAAAAAAAATTAGTTGGATATGGGAGCACATGCCTGTAGTCCCAGCTGCTTGAGGGGCTGAGGCAGGAGGATTGTTTGAGCCTGGGAGCTCTAGGCTGCAGTGAGCTGTGTTCACGCCAGTGCACTCTAGCCTGGGTGACAAAGTGAGACCTGTCTCAAAACAAAACAGAAGCCCCACAAAACTTAGAGGCTTAAACAACACCATTTTATTATTTTTCACAGTTCTGTGTGTTGGCTGCGCTCCCCTGAGATGTCTTCTCTCTGCTCTACTCGTCTCAGCTGAGCACATCTCGAGTGGCACAGTTTGGAGCAGAGGATCTAAGGTGGTTGGTCTGACTCCTTGACTGTGTTAGCTTGGGTGGCTGAAACGCCGTGGATGCTCTTTCATCCCGTAGTGTGTCTCTTCCCGTGTGGCCTTTCCAGCAGCATGGCCCAGACCTCTCACATGGTGGTTCAAGTGAGAGAAGGCTGCAGAGTCTCTTAAGGCCTAGGCACTGAGACTCACGCATCATTTCTGCCATATTCCAAGATCAAGTGAAGGTACTCTGCAGGTCACAGGGCAGGGCAGATTCAATAAGAAAGAGAACTAGGAAAAGCACAAAGATGTGGCCGCATAACACATTGGGGCCAGTTTGCAAGGATTTGCCACAATGCTTCTAGAACAAAAGAGAAGGAGAAAGGATTAGTGTAGATTTAGAACACTTCTGAATTAAGAGGAAGCAATTGGAGAAAGTTCAGGCTGAAAACCTTCAATTAGCATAGACTGAAAAAAGCTCATCTCTTAAAGGAGAAGTCATAAAAGAGTTTATATGAATCAGAGTGTGATTCCTTTTTTTCTTATACAATATGAAATAAAACCACTCTGTAACTCTTGAATAAATCTGCTGTTAGGGAATGCAGCATGCTATGAGCCTGATTTTAAAAGAAATTTTAATTTTTTTGAATAAAATATTTTAAAAATGCATATGTCACTTGCCTCTTCATATTTAATGCACTTTTAGCAAAACTCATGTTATGAACTGAGAAGGGTCTGATGTTTTACTCAAATTGCAAGCTAACAAATTAGTTTGCTATGATTGCTGGAAGAAGACATGAGACTTCTGTATCAAAGACAAAGGATTTTATTATTCATAGCAATAGTAGTATTCAGAATATAAGCACTCTTGGGCCAGTTCCCCAGCCCTAATCCACCAAGGCAATGAGAAGGTGACCAAGTGACATCTGAACATACAGTGGGTTGTGTTAGAAAAGAGGAAGTTGACCTTGGGAAACCTGAATCTTTTGTAATTGGCACTTGGCATGCTTGCTATTTGCTAGGAAGGAAATGTCATTTTTATTATACTGTACAGCATGCATGTATATGTCTCTTGTTGTGGAGGGAGATACTATCTTTGTCTTTCAAGGCTGTAAGCAATTTTATCCATTGGTCCAGAAGGAGATCCTATCACTGTCTTCCCATGCTATACAAGGCCTCCTTGAAAAGACAGCTGAGAGCAAAGATAGCTAGTGCTTCTGTTTGTAAGACATGCAGAAATGTGAGAGACCCACGAATTGTCTCCCCAAAACTAATTTTAAAATATGACTTCAGTGTGCAAGAAATGGTCAAAATAAAAATCTAAATAAATTTCTACCATAAAGAAATATTTCAAAAAAACAAATATTTCATATGTAAGAGGTAATCTCATATGTAATTTCATATGTAATCTTCAGTACGTAAGTACTTAAAAATATTCTTCATTTTAAAAGTATTGTATGTTTACTTATATATTCAATGTAAGATCAACAAATTTTTCATGTAGGCAGTGAAAGTACAAACAAATAGGAGTAGTAAGCAGTTTGGAACACTGATTTCAGTGTTCAGCTCCTTGATCAAGTATTTGGTGAAATCACAACCACCAGGGTGTGGGTGCGCCTGTTGGGCAGCAGTGACAAATGGCCTTCCCTAGGATGGCCTGTAGATGTGTCCTTGGCTTTGCTATCTGGACTATTGCCCATCCCAGCGGCTTCCCTGTACCTCTTATGAAACAACAGGAGCCTGTTAGGCTTTGGAGTTTATCTAGTTTTACAAATGTTCCAGAAAATTTGCTCCATCCCAGGATAAGCTGTGGACACATAGGTAGGATCATGATGTGGATTTATGTTTCAGATTTACCACAGAGTGGTGTGTTAGACCATTTATGCTGCTGCGACAGAGTACCACAGAATGGATAATTTATAAAGAAAAAAGATTGATTTGCTGTATGGTTCTGGAGGCTGGGAAGTCCATGGTCAAGAGGCTGCATCTGGTGAGGGCCTTCTTGCTGCATCATAACATGGTGGAAAGCATCACATGGCAAGCGAGGGTGCAAGACAGAGATAGGAAATCATTCAAACTCATCCTTTTATCAGGAGCTCACTTCTATGGTAACAGCATTAATCCACTCAGGGGGACAGGAGCCTCATGACGTAATCACCTCTTAAAGGTCCCACCTCTTAATACCATCACAATGGCAATTAAATTTCAACATGAGTTTTGGAGGGGGCATTCAAGCCACAGCAGATAGTATTGGTCTGATGCAGTCCCAAGTGTGATGGAATCTAGAGATCTCTTCAAAGTAGGAGAGGAAGTTTAGAGTGTCCACAGAATGCTTTTGCTTCTTGGTAAAGTTTGAGTACAATACATACTAATCATTGTGTAGCTGTCATATTTTTCTAACAACTTCAAAGACACCAAATCTAATTTACCTGTAAGCAGAGAGACACATCCTATTGTAGATTTAACTTTGCTCAATAGGTCCTTATGAGGGAGGAGTGTCCATTCTGTATCACTGGTGAATAAGTGAGCATATGAAGATGAAACGATCCACAAGGAAGGCAGGGCATGGAATGGAATTTATTTTATTATATTTTTTATTTTTTTGAGATGGAGTCTTGCTCTGTCACCAGGCTGGAGTGCAGTGGCATGATCTGGGCTCATTGCAACCTCTGCATCCTGGGTTCAAGCAATTCTCCTGCCTCAGCCTCCCAAGCAGCTGGGACTACAGGCATGTGCTATCATGCCTGGCTAATTTTTTTGTATTTTTAGTAGAGACAAGGTTTCACCATGTTGGCCAGGCTGGTCTCGAACTCCTGACCTCAAGTAATCCTCCTGCCTCAGTCTCCCAAAGTGCTGAGATTGCAGGTATGAGCCACTGCACCCGGCCAAGAATGGAATTAAGAATGTTCAGTTTCTTATTTCAGCCTTGGAACACTAATATTAATTGAATGTGTTGTTTTCTCCTAAATTTATGTTTGTATTTTTTCATTGGTTTAGTTCAGTTGGAAGTGTAATTTCACATTAACGGGGGAACTAAATCAATTACATGTGTTCTTAATGTTCCAGTAGTGTCTGCAACTTGGTTAAACACTGAAGTGGTTTGGAACACGGCATTAGCCAATATAGCCAGAAAGAAAAAGGGAAGAAATCAGTAGAAAAAAATGCCTATATCAATATTAACTTCTTTTTCAGCATTCAATATGCTTGACTTTTTCTCTTATGAGAAAAAGTCCTCCTAATGCTTAACCTTAACCTCCTCCTAAATGCTAGCTGTCTAGACCTACTTCCTATACTCCTATTTTCATATTACTTTTTGTGTTTAAACATTTACTTCTTCACTATTTATTTCCTTTGCCTTTCTATCCACTATTTTCTTATTCTCCCTTTTTTTCCCTTCATTTAATAGTTTCTGAAAACTCATTTTTATCACTGAGTGTTTTTTTTTTAGCCTTTTCCAGAGGCAGATAATTACCACTAGAATGATCAATGGCTTTGGAGAAATGAATTAAAACATTAGTTCCATGGATAAACTCATACTTAATGTTAGGAGATTTTGATTTCCAGATAGGGGATTTTTTTTTTAATCATCTAGACTACTCTTGGCTTTCCCTGCTAATTCTTAAGTTTGTGTACAATGTCCAACCTAACCGTGTAGGCTGATTGTTGAAAGGAACACTGGTGAACAGATCCAAATCTGTCACACTCCAGGCAAATAGCAATGGTGACACAAAAATGAGAAATAGGACTGCTGTGGACTATTTGTGTCACCCCAAATTCATATTTCGAAACCCTAATCCCCAAGGTGATGGTATTAGGAGGTGGGGCCTTTGTGAGTTGATTATGTCATGAAGGTGAAGCCCTCATGAATGGAATTAGCGTCCTTATAAGAGACCCCTGGGAGATTTCTAACTCCTGCCACATGAGAACACAGCGAGAGGACAGCTGTCTATGATGCAAGAAGCAGGCCCTCAGCAGGCACTGTGTCTGCTGCACCTTACTCTTAGACTTCCCAACTTCCAGAACTATGAGAAATGAAGGCTCGTTGATTATAAGCCATGCAGTCTATGCTATTATTGTTATAGCAGCCTGAATGGATTGAGACAAAAACCCTCCTCAACAGAACTTTAGGCTCCTTAGCCAGTGTTATGGAGCTCTTTTAAAAAGCATAGAAATCACTGGCAAAGAGCTCCTGGCATTGAGCCACGTGACAGTTAGCAGAGGCTGCTTTCTGCTTGGCCAGCTGTGCAAGGAGACAGAGCAGGGGGTCAGCAGAGGGAGCTGAAACAGTAAGACTATAAGCAGAGGAAGAGTGGCAGGAAAGAACAAAACTCAATTCAAATGTTGCCAGCACACAGTGAATTGCAGGGAACCGGCTATCATGAGAGAGGGTCCCAGGAGTACACACATCAAATGTGGTTTTTGAACCAGAGGACCTCCTGACTGCTGGTGGCAGGATGTCTCTATTCCATGTAGTTATCAATGTGTTACTCTTTTCTTTGGTTGAAAGGATTTTGGGTCAGGCACTGATCTTTCTTTGAATATATGTGCCTGTTGGATGCCTGAACAGTGAGAAATGCAGGAACGTGGTAGTTAGTGATGGTTAGGAGAGCAGGGGAAGGCACAAAACCTGAATGTCACAGGAAATTGTGCAAGTATAATAAAAGTAACAGATAGCATTTATTGCTTGATTGCTATCTGCCAGGCTCAGTGCTAGGATATGGAAATATAGAGTCACGCCAAGTAACTTTGGTCCCTGCCCTCAAGCTTAGTCTGATGCAAATCCACCATGAACCAGGGAATTGACAGGCACTGAAGGTAAAGCCAGTGCTTCAAGACGTCAGACAAGACAAAATGTCAGAAAAACAAACAACAGAGGAATTGCTATGGGAATCTTGAAAGAAAAGCTATTTCTTCTGCAGCCAAGAAGGCTTCTTTCAAGTAGGGGTGCAGATGTCTCTCAGTGGATGTGATATACCGAGGTCTTGCAGAATGAAGCAAGGGAGAGACAAAGGGGTGGGGAAAGTGGCCAACCTGGCGGGAGAGGGGAGGGCAGCTCAAAACCCACCCACCGGCCAGACATTTACTTTAGGTCAACACCTCCAGCCCCGTAGAGGCATACTGTGCATGCAAACAGACAGTGAGGGTTTGATTCTGAAAACACAAAGAACAAGTCTGGCTGTACCACACCTCTCCTTAATCCTCTTCATTTCTCTTCTCATCTCTTATTTCCCGCTCAGATTTGAGGCTCGTCGTGTCTCAAGAGCCATGCTTGGTGCCTAAGCAGTAACCAAGAAATATGGACTTTGCTATTAAAACAGATGTTCTTTAGAGGGTACTAGAGGCTGGGAAGAGGAAGGGAAAAGGGAGATAGGGAGACATTCTTTAAAGGATAAAAAATTACAGCTAGATAGGATGAGTAGTCCTGGTGTTCCGCAGGTCTGTAGGATGACTATAGTTAACAATAATACATGATATGCTTTCAAATAGCTAGAAGGAGGATATTGAATGTTCCCAACACAGAGAAATGACAAATGTTTGAGAAGATAAATACACTAATTACCCTGATCTTATCACTATACATTGTATGTATCATCACTATGTATCCCATGAACATTATGTGCCAATTAAAAAAATAAAAGAAAATATTTTTAAAAGGGGATGCTCTTTGTTAAGAAGAGAGATGGAAATGAAAGATGTCAGTATAGTGCATTTAAGTACTACTGGAAGATGTTTAAAGCATGACGGGATCCTTGAGATGGAACGTCTAATTCTAGGGGGGTGGATTTTAAGGATGTTCAAAGAGAAGGTGACATTTACGCAGAATTTTGAAGGACAACTAGTAGTTTGCCAAGTATATGGTTCCTGGGGTTCAAGGGTAGCTTTGGAGAGAGGAGAAAGCATTCTAAGCAGATAAATAGCACATGTGCATGTAAACAAGAGTGGAAATGCATCGGGAACCCAGGACACTGCGGGACTGTGGTATGGAAAGGGAGAGCTACAGGCAGAAATCAGGCTGAAAGGTTGGGGAGTGAGAGGGTAATAAAGGCTCTGCTTGTTGCAATGTACTCAAATTTAGGGGCGCCTGCCCAAGACATGCCTTTTTACAGGGGCTGCCCATCATTCACAACCTTGCTGGAGATGTGAGCCAAGTTAACATGCCTGTCTCTGGCTGTCCCTGGCTAGAGCTGATTGGACAAGGGTTGGTTCTGTAATCTTGGAGGAATCTAACAATAGACTTGGCTGAAACAAGCGTAAGACTTGTCTTCCAAAATATGAACTAAAGGTCTGATTGGTGTGTGATGGATGTGTGAGCAGAGGTACCGAGAGCAGGGGCTGAAGCAGCTCTTCTCCACCTCCTGAAGTACAGCTGAGCAGGTCTGTAGAGAGAAGCACAGGCACTCAGGGAAAGTGGAGACGAGGCCATGCGAGTCATGAGTGGGGCGTTGGTGGTGCACTTCCTGCTTTGTGTGCCATAGGATAGCTCTGTAGACTTTCATAAATACCCCTTTTAGGGAGACTCCATTTGCGTTCTTTGCAAACAAATGCACTGCTGTAAAATACATGCCATTCTAAAGAGTTTGGATTTTATCCTGTCAGTATGGGGAATCCATGAAAAATATTAAGCAGGGTTAACATAGATTCATTGTGTTGTCTTATAAATTAACTTGACTGCAACTTGAAGAATAGTTCAGAGAGGAGCAAAATCAGGAGAGGAAAACGCTAGGAGGCCATGGGAACAATCTGGACAAAGCCTGACACATCCCTCAGCTGAGGAGAGGCCTGGGGGAAGAGAGAGTCTAGATCTAAGGACATCTAGAGAGCCCCAGCTGAAGGACTTGTGAATGAGTGTTGCCGAGGCTACAGGTTGGGTGGGTATTGGCTCGCTTGTGGGACTGGCATATTGGTAGACGTGGTAAAACTTTAGAAGGAAAGAGATGTGCAAGTGAAAAAAATGAGATTCATTTCAGAGACATTGAGGCACATACAGGATATTCTTATGGAGTTATAGGCTCCAAGGAAAGTTCTGGGCTGCCACATGCAAATGGGCGTTGAAACAATGGGTGTGAAAGTGATTGCCTGTGAGGAGCAAGTGGAATGTGGAACACAAAAGTCTAAAACAGAGCTGGGAAGAAGGCATTCCTCAAGGAGCGGGCAGAAAAGGCTGAGAAGGGGTGAATTGGAGAACAAAGCCAGCAGAGCAGCATCAGAGAAAAAAGTGTGGTTTCAAAAGAAAGAGTCAAATGGTGCAGCACAGTCAATGAATGTAAGAGGTGGATTAAGACGTTTCAAGGCCATGCTGGACTCTGGCACAAGGCGTGCCAGGCTCTAAGGCGCAACAGCCCAGGCTGGCCAGAGGCACTGGGTTTGGGAGCCACTGAGCAGAGGTCACCTGCGGTGGCGGGGCAGGGGGGTGCGGGGGGAGCCACTGTCCACAGCCTTGATGGCCAGGAAAGGCTTTTAGGGATTTGTTAAACACTGTACATATTCTCAAGTCTGGGGACTTTTTAATTTCTTTTTTTCTTTTTCTTTTTTTTTTGCAGTAGGCTTTTTTTTTAACTCTGAATTTTAACAACCTAACTATCTAAGAGATTTAAGAACTGCAGTTTTTCCAGGCTTATGAAATGCAAAATGTTAAACCTCCCACTTTGCTAATGAGAGAATACAATTACTGTCTAACCAAAATAATTTAATGGCTAAGTGAGATAATTTAAAGGATCTGGAAGAGTCATGAATGCAAATAAGTGATTTTCTGCAATGTTTATCTGCCCCTCCCAGCTGAAGTCACTGAGTATACCAGCAGCTGCAGATCCCACTGAGCAGCGCTGACGGGATGGGATGGAGCCCAGGCCACCTGCTGGCCTGAGATGCAAGGTTCCCTCTGGCTGCGGGTGAGCCTTGGGCACAGGGAGTCAGCCTCCTGCAGGTGGGGCCTGGGCCTGTCTGATACCCACAGCCTTTAGTGTCTGTCTTCAGCGCGTTTTGCTCTCTTTTCCTACCTAGACTCCAAGATTCCTTGCCACCTGTGCTCCTGCCGCCGTTCTCCGCCATCTGATAAGCACTCTCTGGGCCCTGACACTGACCTGAACTGGACCAGGGTTAAGCCCAAGTCGCCCCGTCCTTCTGGGAAGGCTCTGTGGAGTCTCCCACATTTCTCTCCAGCTGCCTTCACCTCTCCCTTGCTCCATGGTCTTGAGGGCTCAGCCTTCCGGCCCCCATTCATTAAAGTTCATGATTTTCAATCACAAAGAAATGGCTACTTTACCAGAAAAAGCAGTCAGTTTGCTTAGGTATTTTTCCAGAGACAAAATGGAAGTTAAATGAAAGAAATAAGGTATCGCATTCCACCTAAGCCAGTGGGTAGCTTTACTTGAAAAACTGCCCGAATGTCCCTGTTTTGTCGTTGAGTGAACAGAGGAGCGGATGTGAGCATTTTTCAGCAGAGATGTGCTGCTTTGCAGGGAACAGGCAATATGGATGCATGTAAAATTCTTGCTTGAGGATTAAGAGTCCAAATGTGTTTTAAGAACTGGCTATGCAAAATCTCAGATATAACTGATAAACTGTTGTAATCTGGTTGGCATATAGTCCTGTCTGTACCACACTTTTTCTTTCCCTAAAACACAATTTGGCTTTCTACTTGTTGAACAAACAGATATGGCAAATAAAAGAAGGACAAATGTTATTGACTTTTTTTTTTTCCTGAGAAAGAGTCCTGCTGTGTGGCCCAGGCTGGAGTGCAGTGGCGCGATCTCCGCTCACAGCAACCTCTGCCTTCAGCATTCAAGTGATTCTCTTGCCTCAGCCTCCCGAGTAGCTGGGATTACAGGCATGTGCCACCTCACCCAGCCTTATGAAGCGATTTTTACATATGACATTAGAGATATCAAAGGGGAGTGTCTTATGGTAAAAAAGCTCTACACGTTTTTAAAAACATGATTCCACTGGTATACATTTTTCCAATAAAACTCCAAAATTGATCCTATCCTAGGTATAATCTTATCCTTCTTCACACCTCTCCCATCCTTAAAAAAACTCTAAGTTAATTGGCCTTGGGAACATTTTTGGTTTCAATATTTACATTAGGATTTTGATTTTTTTAAATAATTATTGATCATTTCCAGTTTGAAAATGTTAAAAAAAATTTTTGAACAGTAACAAATTTTAAGAGGACTTTTTATCCCCTAAAGAAAGCCAGTTTATATAGAACTACTGTTATGCCAGTATTTTAAGGTGCCAGGTGTATTTTCTGCTCTGATGAAATATTTAGGTAATTTCTAGCCAGACGAGATCAATAGAACAGGGCTGTACACTTTGTCGATATTTTGAGATTCTTTTTATTCCCAGACCACAAATGGACAGAGGCAGCTTTGCTCTTAAGAAGCGAGTATTTAACCACTAAAAATAGCTTATAGAATGTGAAGTCACCAAAAAGATATCTTGAGCATGGGAAAAAGAGAGCCCTGCGATCTCCCTTCTGTGATAAGAAAATTTCAAAGCACATTAGGGACTGGAATCTATCAGACTTCCATTCCGTCCCCAGAGGTACTTATTTTGGGAATGCTTACAGATGATAAAAACATGTTTGTACACTAACTACTCAATCTCCAGGCTAAATATACAGTCTACAGACTGTGTTGGTGGCTGCGAAGGCATCGTTTTCCTCGCAGCAAAGCCAGGGCTCGATTGATGGAGAAATCAGATTAGGAACCTCATTAGCCTTTGAAATGCGTGGCTGTGGGGCGAGGCCAGACTGAGGGAGATTCAGGGAGGCCAGTGAGAAAACCAACAGCTGCAGGAAGCAGTGTTCATCAAGTGGAGCACGTCTTGTGGGGGTTGGAGTATTTGGAAAGATCTCAGAAGATATGCTTTCCTTTTCCTGTCACCAATGAGATATGCCTGGAATTGCTCGTTTTGTATATCTTAGAATGGGAAATGTCCAGCTTACAAATTATTTTGAGGTTAATTGCTCTTAGGAGATGTTTGGCTGTTGCTGCATTTTTGTAGCCTTCCTCTTCCAAATTGACATCACCCTTTCCTACGTAGTGGGTGAGATCCTATTGTGTCTAGAGATAGAGACAGATCAGGGCTGTCTGTGGCTGGGAGTGATGGCAGTCTCCAAACAGAGAGGGGTTTCTCTCGCTCCCTGTCGTCCCATCTCAGGCCACAGGTGGGCAGCGGAGCCCAGAGTTAAGTGGGAAGCCATGAGTGGGCAGACATTAGCTGTGCCTTCCTCTGCCTCAGGGGTCACCATCAGGATTTTCATCATTGTACTCGCTTCCCTTTCGTACCCTACCACATCCAGACTGGACCTGTGATGGGAGCTGAGGCTCCTTCTGGGTCTCAGTGTGTCTGAAACGGTCCTGTGTTGGGTGCTGGGATGATAGAACCGACACCCAGTGAGTCCTAGCAGTGGAACCACCTGCCCTGCTAATCAGACAACTGGAAACACCATTCCAAGTGGTTTGGAGAGAGCTGTGGCTAAGTATTACTGTCTTTTTAAATTCAAACGTCGTGTTAGTTTGTTTTCAGTCCCCTGTAGTTGTAGCCTTCTGAAAATAAGAGGATAGCTTGTTCAATTATTATGGCTCTAAGGAGAATAGTTGTAGGAGGGGAAGAATTCCCTGCTGAAGCCTCTTGGCTTACATGTATTAATGCTAACTAGTGGCCCTTTAGGGCATACATAATTGTAAATACAGTTATGTACTGCTTAACAAGAATACTCTGAGAAATGTGTCATTAGGTGATTTTGTCATGCAAACATCATAGAGTGCACTTATACAAACTTAGATGGCATAGCCTACTACACACGGAGGCTGTATGGTACAGCCTGTAGATCCTGGGTAACAAACCTCTACAGCACGTTACCGTACTGAATACTGTAACACAATGGTAAGTATTTGTGTATCTAAATATATCTAAACATAGAAAAGGTAGAGTAAAAATACAGTATCATCATCTTATGGGGCCACCATCCTATGTCGATCCATTGCTGACCAAAATGTCGTTATGTGGCGCGTGACTGTATAATCCTGTTTCACCTGTAACAGCCGTGTGATTTTGTGGCTCATATCTTTATATAAATAGCAGGTTAGTGCTTACTGGCTGTATGTCCTTGGGCAGTCACTTAATGTTTCTGAGCCACTGTGTCCCCACCTGTGAATATAGGAGTAGCACACCATTCAAGAGTTTTATTAGAAATCAAGCAATGTGCTATTATGTTTACCGTGTAGCAGGTATGCAAGCAGTATACACAATTAATTATTATTAATTAAATCTCAGGTGCTCCTGTAATTTACTCCTGTTAATCATTACTAGGGAGGCTTCCGTTTCCGTAGTTCCCAATCTTTTTAAAAATTGATTGCTAATATTTGTACATATTCACATGGGACGTGTGATATTTGGATACATGCATAGAATGTGTAATGATCAGGGTATTTAAGATAACCATCTCCCTGAGCATTTATCATTTCTTTATGTTGAGGATATTTCATATCTTCTCTTCTAGTTATTTTGAAATGTACAATAAATTATTGTTAACTATAGTCACCCTACTGTGTTACTGGACGCTAGAATGTATTTCTTCTCTCCAACTGTATGTTTGTACCCCTTAACCAGCCTCCCTTCATCTCTCCTGCCACCCCCTTTCCCAGCTTCTTGTAAGTGTCATTCCACTCTCCACCTCCATGAGATCATCTTTTTTTGCTCCCATATATAAGTAAGAACATGTGGTATTTGTCTTTTTGTGCCTGGCCTATTTCTCTGAACATAATGACCTCCAGTTCCACCCATGGTGCTGAAAATGACAGGATTTCATTCTTTATTATGGCTGAATAATATTTAATTGTGTATGTATACTCCATTTTCTTTATCCACTTGTTCGTTGATGGATACTTAGGTTGATTCCATGTCTTTGCTATTGTGAATAATGCGGCAATAAGCATGGGGGTGCAGGTATCTCTCTCTTATACTGATTTCCTTTCCTTTGGATAAATTACCCACTAATGAAATTGCTATATTGTATCGTAGTTTTACGTTCAGTTTTTTTTTGAGAAATCTCCATTTTACATAATGACTGTACTAATTTACAATCCCACCAACAGCATCCTTGCCGGTATCTATTTTTTGGCTTCCTGTTAGTAGCCAATCTTACTGGGGCAAGACAATCCTCATTGCGGCTTTGATTTGCATTTTCCTGGTGACTAGTGATTCTGAGCATTTTTTCATATACCTGTTTGTCATTTGTATGTCTTTTTTAAAGAAATGTCTGTTTAGATCCCTTGCCCATTTTTAGTGGGATTATTTGTTGTTGTTTTGTTGTTGAGTAATCTGAGTTTCTTGTATATTTTGGATATCAGACCTTTGTCAGATGAATAGTTTGCATATATTTTCTTCCACTCAAGAGGTTGTGTCTTCACTCTGTTGGTAGTTTCCTTTGTTGTGCAGAAGTTTAGTTTAACATAGTTTCGTTTGTCTATTTTTTGTTTCCTGTACTTTTAAGGTCTTAGCCATAAAATCTTTGCCTAAATCAAGGTCCTTGAGTGTTTCTCCTGTATTTTCTTCTAGTAGTTTCATCCTGTTGGGTCTTATATTTAAGTTTTTAATTCATTTTGAGTTGATTTTTGCATATGGTGAGAGATAGGGGTCTAGTTTCATTCTTCTGCATATGAATGTCCAGTTTTTCCAGCACCATTTGTTGGACAGAATGTCCTTTCCCCAGCATATATTCTTGATGCCTTTTTTCAAAAGTCAGTTGGCTATAAGTACATGGATTTAGTTCTGGGTTCTCTATTCTGTTCCACTGGTCTATGTGTCTTTTTATACCAATACCATGCTGTTTTGTTTGCAGTAGCCTTATAGCATATTTTGAAGCCAGGCAGGGTGATGCTTCCAGCTTTGTTCTTTTTGCTCAGGATTGCTTTGGCTATTTGGGCTCCTTTTTGATTCCAAACAAATTTTAAGACTGTTTTTTCTATTACTGAGAAAAATGTCATTCCAGTCTGTTTATATCCTCTCTCAGGCTACTTCATACATGCCTGGATTTGAATCTCGAAGCTTGTGGTTCTTAAGTTTTTTATGTCGAAGAATCCCCTGGATTGTGTGTTAAAATGCATACCTCCTGGCACTACCTGGAGAGGTTCTAAATGTAGGTTTTTGGTGAGGCCCAGCACTGCATTGTTAAGAAGCACCTCAGGTTTTTTTGATCCAGACAGGCTGATCACAATTTGAAAAATAAGACCCAACATGTGAAATTCCCTGAATACATGAGCCTTTGGTTTCTCATCATTCTGCAACTTACCTGTCATTTATTGAGCAGCCAACTATGTGCAACATACTGTTCTAGGGTATTTACATACAGTATTTTTTTGTCTTCATAATAGTCTGATATTATAATGATTAGTGTCCTGGTTTTACATTGAGGAAACTGAAACTGGAATGTCCCAGAAAACTCCTTCACTCACATGTCTGGCCTGGCCTGAGATGGCCGAAAATCTGAGGGCTGACTAGCATTGCTCATTCTTTATTTTCTGTTAATCAGTTTATATACAACCCCTAAGCAAGATAATATTATGTGTTCTGAAGTTCATTTATTTGCACTGCTATATAATATTCATTGATTTAACTTAATACCTCTTGAAGAGTAACCAAGGACCAAGAACAGTATATGCCAAGTCAGAGTTTAATTTTTAGAGCAGCAATACCCTGGAGTAAGTTCAGTGAGTCTCTCTGAAAGCTCCTTCCAAATACGGTGAGATTGTAAAAGGCACTTTTGG
Organism: Homo sapiens; assembly: GCF_000001405.40. Lineage (NCBI taxonomy): Eukaryota > Metazoa > Chordata > Mammalia > Primates > Hominidae > Homo > Homo sapiens. The sequence goes on from NT_187542.1 coordinate 32,380, forward strand.
ATTGACTGTGATAAGGAATTGAGAAGTCGCTCTTGGCAAGGATCATCATTGCAGCCTAATGTCTTCTGCGTGGGCATTAAAGCTGGCCCAGTTCTCTACAAGGTGTAGGATGAGTGGTAGAGGCTCAAGCAGGCTCAGAGTTAGGCAACAGTCAAATCTGTTTGCCCATGAACATAGCTGGGCAAAGGTTCTTTTTAACACATGATCAAATTATCCATTCCCTTTGCCAATGGACATCTGTGTTGTTTCCATTTTTTTTTTTGCTATTAAAAATAATGCAGCTATAAACACTTTGGACATGTCTCCTTGGAGCACTTGGGGATCTCTCTCAAGAAAATATTCCCAGGAGTGGAATATTTGGGCCACCGTGTACGTGGGTCATCAAGTTTCTTAGATAATGCTAAATTGTTTCTAAAAAGACTTGTGTGAGTCCACACTCCCACCAGCAGTATGTAAGTAAGACCTGTTGCTGTCCAGTCCCACAACAGGGTGCTCTTTCTGGTGGCAGTGAATGAATGGATCCCTTGTGAGTCAATTTGGGATGTGATAGGAGAGTTAAATAAATGCAACATTATAGAATCTGTACAGAATCAGCATCAGGGATCTTCAGGAAGGAACTTGGCTTATCCATCATTTTTTGGTACCAAAATACCTCATAGAATGCTGCACCCCGTACATTCATATTTACTGAGTTATGAAATTCTAGCCCATGAAATTGCCTTTCTACCTGGTTTGTGTGTTTTTAAAAATCCTCAAAAGGCTTGCATGCATTCTGTCTTCTCTGAAATACGCATAATTCCAGTCTGTCATATAGGATTTTTGTGTGGGTTTATAATAATGGGTTTAATGGCTAAAAAGCATAATGCAATGTTCATATAAATAATGAAGTTGGTATATCAAAATAAAAGTGGAGAGATGCTCAAAGGCTGAGTTAATGAGAGAAGACAAACACAAAAATCTTTGACTGTCTTCAAGTACAGTAAAATTTCAGCTGTGTCATCACTGGGGGTTTTCCTGGATGCGGAACAGCTGTGACTGCTTCGTGTAGCAGGTGCTGGACTTCACCGGTCTCTATAGTGGTAGCAAATTTGGGTCACCGGGAAAGGCAGTTCTTGCTGTTCCTGTCACTTTCTAGCCATCTGAAAAAATGATACAGTGTTGTTAGGATCACAGAAGGATATGGAGAACACCCAAAGTCCAAGGGGCATTGGCCAATAAGAAGACAAATGTGGGATTTGTCCTCTTTGCCACTAAATTACCAGAAAGAATGCTGCTCACGTTGATCATGACTCAGAGTCAGCGCCTCGGTGCCCGGGAGGAGTCTGTGAACTTGTGTGGTGATTCGGCTCTGGCCCTGAGGGACAAATGTCCGCTTTTGAAAACCACCAGCCACTCAGCAGCCCTCACGACGGAACCAATCAGCCACTGCGTGTTCAGCAATGGAGCCGATTGCAGGAAGACCTCTCTGGGAGAAGAAGAATAGGACCAGCCAAACTTCCCTTTAGAAATAAAATTCAGCTCAATCCAAAACAGTCATATTGCATTTTTATTATGTCCACCACAGTGAACTGGGGATTGCGGGGGAGACAGAGAAGGAAGGCATGGCTCTGGCTTCAAAGACCTGGTAATCAGATGTGTTCTTCACTGAAAAAGGGAAGAGAGGCAGAAAGAAGGAAGCCACGTTTGCTGTCAAGCCTTCACCCTACCTTGCTTGCAAAATTATAATTTACAAATTTAACATTAGTGATTTTCAGAAAAAGATAGGCAGCAGAAACATAGTAACTGGCACTTTCTTAGATGTATGTTGCCGATGAAAGAGGGAAAAGATGTAGACAAGAAATCCTCTCTTAAAATGGAGAGCTGGGGAAAAGTCGGGCCTCTCCTATCAAAGAGACAACTACAAGTGCTGCTTGCTTCTGTGTGTTTGACACCGCAGTCGGTGAACTGGGCCAATGTCAGCCCACAGAAATTGGAACAGCCTGAGTATATCTGGAAGCAAATACTCCACAGATGGAGAGGGAAGTGGGAGGTTAGCTCAGACCACTTGATTTTACTTAAACAGCTTTCAATTTTGTGAACTTGGAAAAGAAAAGGCCAGCAGAACTAATAAAGTCCACGTGACATCAATTCTGTTTCTTTAACACCCAGATAAATAACAAGTGAAGTCCACTGTCACCAAACATGGGACCTATGTTGCAATTCCCTTTCCTAAGGAGGGTCGTTTTCTGATTGCTGGGCATGAGTATGAGTATTTGAGAGGCATCAGATCATAGAAGGAGGCCTTAATAATTGTGGGCATGTACGTGAAGAAAGGGCAGATGCAGCAGTGATTATTTCCTGTTTAGAGATGTTTGTCAGGACACCTTCGAGGGTGGGAACAAGTTTCCACGGTTAGCAGAACAGATGGACGGAAGGGCAGCTGAGCCCTGCTTCCACAGTGGACTCCAGAGCTCTTGGGTAACATTTAGGATGCAGCCATCCAGAAACACCGTGAGGCCAAATGCAGGAAGATGCCAGGACCCAGGTGTACCCAGCGTTGGGGTGAACTAGTTTGTTGCTTAGAACTAAAGCTAACTCAGGTTCTCTTTCTGCAGAAGGCTTTACAAGACCATAAGGGAGAAGGGAGAAGGAGAGGCAGTCTATAATTGCCTCTACCATCTTCACTCCCACCCCTAACCTTACTCATGCCAGCCTTCTCTTCCCACATCCCATACTTTTCTTATTCAGAATTCATTAGCCAGAAAATATAGTAGCAGCCATAACTGACATTTTCATATTGACATGTCATGTCTAGGTCAATTCTCAGCCAAGTGTGATTTTACTTCCCAGAGGACATTTATTGGTAGCTAGAGATAACTGGGGTTGTCACAACTGAGGAGGGGGATGCTACTGGCATGTAGTGGGGAGAGGCCAGCCATGCAGCTAAATCTCCTACAAGGCACAAGACAGCCCCCAACATTTAAGAATTATTGGGCCCACAATGTCAATAGTGTCATAGTTAAGAAACCCTGGTCTAAGGCCAGACGCAGTGGCTCATGCCTGTAATCCCAGCACTTTGGGAGGCCGAGGCGGGTGGATCACCTGAGGTCAGGAGTTTGAGACCAGCCTGACCAACATGGAGCAAACCCATCTCTACTAAATATACAAAATTAGCCGGGCGTGGTGGCACATGACAGTAATCACAGCTGCTCAGGAGTCTGAGGCAGGAGAATTGCTTGAACCCCGGCGGCGGAGGTTGCGGTGAGCCGAGATCACGCCATTGCACTCCAGCCTGGGCAACAAGAGCGAAACTCCATCTAGAAAAAAGCAAAACAAAACCGGAAACCCTGGTCCAAGTTAAGATGTGAATTTTGCTGAGAAAAACTGGAAAGGTTGAATGGAGTCGGATCAAGTTGTGATGGTGGATCTAATTTTATAAAGTTGATTTTAGACTTTATTTCATTGGCCATTAAATATTAGCAGGCAGTTTTAGTGATGTTTTTGTCATCGGTGCTCTTCTAACAGCCCTGATGATGGATTTCCTTTTTATAACATGTTGCAGATCACACTTGTGAATCACATCTTCATTCTGTCAGTTGCTGACTTTGGGGGAGAGGTGAGATTTCCTACCTACCTTCTAATCTACATTCTCTTGTTTTTCCTAAGTGGGAAGGATCTTGTTGTCTAATGATCTTTTTTGCTCTTGAGGACATTTACATACCCAGTGAGAAACAACAACATACTTTGCATGGCCACTGGTTTGATGTTCATTCTCTTTTAATTTATTTGAATTTAATTAAGATAATCTTATTTAGAACTCAACTATTAACATGGCGAATACATTGGTTCAGTCGTGTGAACCAACAAAAGGTTTTTTTATTTTTTAATTTATATATATATATATATATATATATATAGTTTTTTTTATTATACTTTAAGTTCTAGGGTACATGTGCACAACGTGCAGGTTTGTTACATATGTATACATGTGCCATGTTGGTGTGCTGCACCCATTAACTCGTCATTTACATTAGGTATTTCTCCTAGTGCTATCCCTCCCCCCTCCCCCCACCCCACAACAGGCCCCGGTGTGTGATGTTCCCCTTCCTGTGTCCAAGTGTTCTCATTGAATGGGCAAAAGCCAACAAAAGTTTTGATGTGAAGCCTGCAGCATGCTCTCCATCTGATTGTGTTTATCTTCCTTTCTGATCTCTCGGGGTAACTAACTACTGCTTCTGGGGCAGATGGCATGATGGCTTCTTCTGCTGGGCTGTGCTGCATGACTTGAGATATGGCAGAAATCTGGAGATTTAGTGCAGATGCCCAAATATTAGTTGACCTCAAATATAAAACACTCTTGATGAGAAGTTCCTGAAGTTTTTTTCTTTTTTTGGGCCATCTTGAACATATGAATATTGAGATTTAGATAAAATAATCAATACAGTTAATTAATTTAATATTTAATAAATTTAGTTGTATCCATAATTTAAAATTCCTTTATTATCTAAGATAACATTTGAACAGTATTTTTTTCGACTTCTCACTTTGGTAAAACAATTTAGTTCGGCTCATGATGTGTGGCTCTAAATAGGGGATCTTCATCATCACCAGAACTACTTTCTGAGCTCTCTCCTATGACATTTTTCCCACGTCGTAATCCATTGATTTTTTTGAGAAGTAGTTTTTTAAATAATATATGTGATGTCATTGGAAATTGTATCCCATGCTGTAGCTGCCCATTCACACAACATTAAAAATTACTTTTTCATTCATCTTTTTACATGCCTGTTTGCAACATTCACTTACATGTGTGAGGTTAAATATCTGGAGGAATAATGATTATAATGATTATATCTGTTTAGCGAATTCTGAAGGGTGACTTTTATAAGCAACAATCAACTAGCAAAGACTGAGGTCATTTCAGGATTTGTCTTTCATAAGCCATATTTTGTTGTTCATAATAAAGTATCTAAGATGGCATCCTTTAAGGTAAATCATTTTGTAAGATCACAAATGGAAGACAATTACTCTTTTCTGAGGTACATTTTTGTTTCAGATGAAAAACTCCCACCTTAATGTTTGAATATGCAAAATATGTAATTGTATATTTTTCTATTTTGATTCATTAATGTTATTATGAGACTTTCACTTGGCTTTACTCTGATAACTCATTTATTACCTGACTATAACTAGGATACACTAAGAAAAATCGGATATAATAGTTGAAAACTGGGCTAAGAAAAGATTTTAATTCTAAGCTCAGTTAAGTTTTGCTAAAATAGTTCATTGAAAGCTACTAACTGGATTCGCCCTAGTTCCTGTTCCAATATCTAAACTATAGAAAAGGCTTTTATTTATTTCTTAAATAAAAGATTCCTGAAGAATGCCCACACAAGAGAAACCACAGAGCCCAGATTCTCCCTTTGTATGAACTCATCCTGAAACCACAGAGCCCAGATTCTCCCTTTGTTTGAACTCATCCTGAAACCACAGAGCCCAGATTCTCCCTTTGTTTGAACTCATCCTGAAACCACACATTTACTCCCAGAGAGGTAACAATATGTTTCTGCAATGATATGCAGGTTAAAAAAAAGCTTTCAGGACAAAAAAAGAAATGAATAAAAAATCAAGCCAAAACACATGGATTCCAGGTGTGCATCCAAGACAGCTTTTTGACAGATGTAAATATTTCCTGAGCAATTTTGCTGATCTTATGATGTGTATCTCACAGCCATTTCCATAAAAAAATGCAAGTGAGTCAGGATGAAAGAGACTTCCACCTGGACTTCAACGTCTCCAGCATTTACTACCTGGGTGATCTTGAACAAGTCACAGTTTCTTTTCAATTTTCCTTATCTCTGAGGACGCTTCTCAGGCTGACTGCCAACAAATATGTAGGAAAACATACTCAGTACAAAACATCTGCCTGGCACATAAACATTGGTTGAAACTGATTAGTAAAAGTATAAAACTTGCTGATGATTTAGTGATTATTACTGCTGTCTTCAATTGCCAGTAATTTATTTCTACTATCTTGATGGTAAAGGCGTGATTTTTTTTTTTTTTTGAGGGGCTGCAATAGTATTCTCTATTTATAATTTGGGAAAAATTACAAATGTTTTTGCTTTCAAAATCTGGAATAACAGAGGCCAGGAATTGATAGGCCATTTTAGACTTTTTCCAAGTGGAGTTCTTCCTGGTCCAGTTTTCAGTGGATTTGGGGATAAATAAGTTTCCCTCCAGGTTGTGGAGTGCTTTATTTCCTGGAACTTTTTCACATGAAGTCATCACTTGTTCTTTATTTAGGTGGGCCTACGGCCACATTTGAATCAGATCAGTGTAAACTTTGACTCGTGTACTGAGACTTCTGGACAAGACAGCACACTAGCTTGGGAGTCTGACCCCCTTCCTTAAACTCAACCTGAAATGCTACATAAGCAACTGGGAGAATGACTGCTAACAGAATCAGTACAGCTCTTGCGGTAGCAGAAGGTGTTAGGTGATTTTCTGGGAGAGAGCAGCCCATACCCGAAGAGAACCAGCTGTCACTAATGAGGGGACACTGTGGGAAGGAGCTTTCTAGTTGTCCTAAGGTTTTCATCCTTCGTTGCCTCGGAGGGAGCATTGTTTTCCCCCATCCCTGCAGGTGGGGACACACAGCATCCCCAGGACGGCACATGAGGAAGAGGCAGGCACCATGCGAGTGCTGAGGAGGAACCCCGGACGCCACCATTTCACATGGAAGAGGCAGGCGACATGCGAGTGCTGGAGAGGAAGCCCGGACGCCACCATTTCACGTGGAAGAGGCAGGCGACATGCGAGTGCTGGAGAGGAACCCCGGGCGCCACCATTTCAGATGAAGAGGCGGGCGACATGCGAGTGCTGGAGAGGAACCCTGGACGCCACCATTTCACATGGAAGAGGCAGGGGACATGTGAGTGCTGAGGAGGAACCCTGGACGCCACCATTTCACATGGAAGAGGCAGGCGACATGCGAGTGCTGTGGAGGAACCCAGGGCGCCACCATTTCAGATGAAGAGGCGGGCGACATGCGAGTGCTGGAGAGGAACCCTGGACGCCACCATTTCACATGGAAGAGGCAGGGGACATGTGAGTGCTGAGGAGGAACCCAGGACGCCACTATTTCACATGGAAGAGGCAGGCGACATGCGAGTGCTGGAGAGGAACCCTGGACGCCACCATTTCACATGGAAAAGGCAGGCAACATGCGAGTGCTGGAGAGGAACCCCGGACGCCACCATTTCACGTGGAAGAGGCAGGCGACATGCGAGTGCTGGAGAGGAACCCCGGGCGCCACCATTTCAGATGAAGAGGCGGGCGACATGCGAGTGCTGGAGAGGAACCCTGGACGCCACCATTTCACATGGAAGAGGCAGGGGACATGTGAGTGCTGAGGAGGAACCCCGGACGCCACCATTTCACATGGAAGAGGCAGGCGACATGCGAGTGCTGGAGAGGAACCCTGGACGCCACTATTTCACATGGAAGAGACAGGCGACATGCGAGTGCTGGAGAGGAACCCTGGACGCCACCATTTCACATGGAAGAGGCAGGCGACATGCGAGTGCTGGAGAGGAACCCCGGACGCCACCATTTCACATGGAAGAGGCAGGCGACATGCGAGTGCTGGAGAGGAACCCCGGACGCCACCATTTCACATGGAAGAGGCAGGCGACATGCGAGTGCTGGAGAGGAACCCCGGACGCCACCATTTCACATGGAAGACGCAGGCGACATGCGAGTGCTGGAGAGGAACCCCGGGCGCCACCATTTCACATGGAAGAGGCAGGGGACATGCGAGTGCTGAGGAGGAACCCTGGACGCCACCATTTCACATGAAGAGGCAGGGGACATGCGAGTGCTGAGGAGGAACCCTGGACGCCACCATTTCACATGAAGAGGCAGGCGACATGCGTGTGCTGGAGAGGAACCCTGGACGCCACCATTTCACATGGAAGAGGCAGGCGACATGCGAGTGCTGGAGAGGAACCCTGGATGCCACCATTTCACATGGAAGAGGCAGGCGACATGCGAGTGCTGGAGAGGAACCCCGGACGCCACCATTTCACATGAAGAGGCAGGCGACATGCGTGTGCTGGAGAGGAACCCTGGACGCCACCATTTCACATGGAAGAGGCAGGCGACATGCGAGTGCTGGAGAGGAACCCTGGATGCCACCATTTCACATGAAGAGGCAGGCGACATGCGAGTGCTGAGGAGGAACCCTGGACGCCACCATTTCACATGAAGAGGCAGGCGACATGCGAGTGCTGAGGAGGAACCCTGGACGCCACCATTTCACATGAAGAGGCAGGCGACATGCGAGTGCTGAGGAGGAACCCTGGACGCCACCATTTCACATGAAGAGGCAGGCGACATGCGTGTGCTGGAGAGGAACCCCGGACACCACCATTTCACATGCATGAGACAGGCGACATGTGAGTGCTGAGGAGGAACCCCGGACGCCACCATTTCACATGAAGAGGCAGGCGACATGCGAGTGCTGAGGAGGAACCCCGGACGCCACCATTTCACATGGAAGAGGCAGGGGACATGCGAGTGCTGAGGAGGAACCCTGGATGCCACCATTTCACATGAAGAGGCAGGCGACATGCGAGTGCTGAGGAGAAACCCTGGATGCCACCATTTCACATGAAGAGGCAGGCGACATGCGAGTGCTGGAGAGGAACCCTGGACGCCACCATTTCACGTGGAAGAGGCAGGCGAAATGCGAGTGCTGGAGAGGAACCCCTGGATGCCACCATTTCACATGGAAGAGGCAGGCGACATGCGAGTGCTGGAGAGGAACCCCGGACGCCACCATTTCACATGAAGAGGCAGGCGACATGCGTGTGCTGGAGAGGAACCCTGGACGCCACCATTTCACATGGAAGAGGCAGGCGACATGCGAGTGCTGAGGAGGAACCCTGGACGCCACCATTTCACATGAAGAGGCAGGCGACATGCGAGTGCTGAGGAGGAACCCTGGATGCCACCATTTCACATGGAAGAGGCAGGCGACATGCGAGTGCTGTGGAGGAACCCTGGATGCCACCATTTCACATGGAAGAGGCAGGCGACATGCGAGTGCTGTGGAGGAACCCTGGACGCCACCATTTCACATGGAAGAGGCAGGCGACATGCGAGTGCTGAGGAGGAACCCCGGACGCCACCATTTCACATGAAGAGGCAGGCGACATGCGAGTGCTGGAGAGGAACCCCGGACGCCACCATTTCACATGGAAGACGCAGGCGACATGCGAGTGCTGGAGAGGAACCCCGGGCGCCACCATTTCACATGAAGAGGCAGGGGACATGCGAGTGCTGAGGAGGAACCCCGGGCGCCACCATTTCACATGAAGAGGCAGGCGACATGCGAGTGCTGGAGAGGAACCCTGGACGCCACCATTTCACATGGAAGAGGCAGGGGACATGCGAGTGCTGAGGAGGAACCCCGGACGCCACCATTTCACATGAAGAGGCAGGCGACATGCGAGTGCTGGAGAGGAACCCCGGACGCCACCATTTCACATGGAAGACGCAGGCGACATGCGAGTGCTGGAGAGGAACCCTGGGCGCCACCATTTCACATGGAAGAGGCAGGGGACATGTGAGTGCTGAGGAGGAACCCCGGACGCCACCATTTCACATGAAGAGGCAGGCGACATGCGAGTGCTGTGGAGGAACCCCGGACGCCACCATTTCACATGGAAGACGCAGGCGACATGTGAGTGCTGGAGAGGAACCCCGGGCGCCACCATTTCACATGGAAGAGGCAGGGGACATGCGAGTGCTGAGGAGGAACCCTGGACGCCACCATTTCACATGAAGAGGCAGGGGACATGCGAGTGCTGAGGAGGAACCCTGGACGCCACCATTTCACATGCATGAGACAGGCGACATGTGAGTGCTGAGGAGGAACCCCGGACGCCACCATTTCACATGAAGAGGCAGGCGACATGCGAGTGCTGGAGAGGAACCCCGGACGCCACCATTTCACATGGAAGAGGCAGGGGACATGCGAGTGCTGGAGAGGAACCCCGGACGCCACCATTTCACATGAAGAGGCAGGCGACATGCGAGTGCTGAGGAGGAACCCCGGACGCCACCATTTCACATGGAAGAGGCAGGGGACATGCGAGTGCTGAGGAGGAACCCTGGACGCCACCATTTCACATGAAGAGGCAGGCGACATGCGTGTGCTGGAGAGGAACCCTGGACGCCACCATTTCACATGGAAGAGGCAGGCGACATGCGAGTGCTGGAGAGGAACCCTGGATGCCACCATTTCACATGGAAGAGGCAGGCGACATGCGAGTGCTGGAGAGGAACCCCGGACGCCACCATTTCACATGAAGAGGCAGGCGACATGCGAGTGCTGAGGAGGAACCCTGGACGCCACCATTTCACATGAAGAGGCAGGCGACATGTGAGTGCTGAGGAGGAACCCTGGACGCCACCATTTCACATGAAGAGGCAGGCGACATGCGTGTGCTGGAGAGGAACCCCGGACGCCACCATTTCACATGCATGAGACAGGCGACATGTGAGTGCTGAGGAGGAACCCCGGACGCCACCATTTCACATGAAGAGGCAGGCGACATGCGAGTGCTGAGGAGGAACCCTGGGCGCCACCATTTCACATGAAGAGGCAGGGGACATGCGAGTGCTGGAGAGGAACCCCGGACGCCACCATTTCACATGGAACAGGCAGGCGACATGGGAGTGCTGAGGAGGAACCCTGGACGCCACCATTTCACATGGAAGAGGCAGGCGACATGCGAGTGCTGTGGAGGAACCCTGGATGCCACCATTTCACATGGAAGAGGCAGGCGACATGCGAGTGCTGTGGAGGAACCCTGGACGCCACCATTTCACATGGAAGAGGCAGGCGACATGTGAGTGCTGAGGAGGAACCCCGGACGCCACCATTTCACATGAAGAGGCAGGCGACATGCGAGTGCTGGAGAGGAACCCCGGACGCCACCATTTCACATGGAAGACGCAGGCGACATGCGAGTGCTGGAGAGGAACCCCGGGCGCCACCATTTCACATGAAGAGGCAGGGGACATGCGAGTGCTGAGGAGGAACCCCGGGCGCCACCATTTCACATGAAGAGGCAGGCGACATGCGAGTGCTGGAGAGGAACCCTGGACGCCACCATTTCACATGGAAGAGGCAGGGGACATGCGAGTGCTGAGGAGGAACCCTGGACGCCACCATTTCACATGAAGAGGCAGGCGACATGCGAGTGCTGAGGAGGAACCCTGGACGCCACCATTTCACATGAAGAGGCAGGCGACATGCGTGTGCTGGAGAGGAACCTCGGACGCCACCATTTCACATGCATGAGACAGGCGACATGTGAGTGCTGAGGAGGAACCCCGGACGCCACCATTTCACATGAAGAGGCAGGCGACATGCGAGTGCTGAGGAGGAACCCTGGATGCCACCATTTGACATGGAAGAGGCAGGTGACATGCGAGTGCTGGAGAGGAACCCCGGACGCCACCATTTCACATGGAACAGGCAGGCGACATGGGAGTGCTGAGGAGGAACCCTGGACGCCACCATTTCACATGGAAGAGGCAGGCGACATGCGAGTGCTGTGGAGGAACCCTGGATGCCACCATTTCACATGGAAGAGGCAGGCGACATGCGAGTGCTGTGGAGGAACCCTGGATGCCACCATTTCACATGGAAGAGGCAGGCGACATGCGAGTGCTGTGGAGGAACCCTGGACGCCACCATTTCACATGGAAGAGGCAGGCGACATGCGAGTGCTGGAGAGGAACCCCGGACGCCACCATTTCACATGAAGAGGCAGGCGACATGCGAGTGCTGGAGAGGAACCCCGGACGCCACCATTTCACATGGAAGACGCAGGCGACATGCGAGTGCTGGAGAGGAACCCCGGGCGCCACCATTTCACATGAAGAGGCAGGGGACATGCGAGTGCTGAGGAGGAACCCCGGGCGCCACCATTTCACATGAAGAGGCAGGCGACATGCGAGTGCTGGAGAGGAACCCTGGACGCCACCATTTCACATGGAAGAGGCAGGGGACATGCGAGTGCTGAGGAGGAACCCTGGACGCCACCATTTCACATGGAAGAGGCAGGCGACATGCGAGTGCTGAGGAGGAACCCTGGACGCCACCATTTCACATGAAGAGGCAGGCGACATGCGTGTGCTGGAGAGGAACCCCGGACGCCACCATTTCACATGAAGAGGCAGGCGACATGCGAGTGCTGAGGAGGAACCCTGGGCGCCACCATTTCACATGAAGAGGCAGGGGACATGCGAGTGCTGAGGAGGAACCCTGGACGCCACCATTTCACATGAAGAGGCAGGGGACATGCGAGTGCTGAGGAGGAACCCTGGACGCCACCATTTCACATGGAAGAGGCAGGCGACATGCGAGTGCTGAGGAGGAACCCTGGACGCCACCATTTCACATGAAGAGGCAGGCGACATGCGAGTGCTGAGGAGGAACCCTGGATGCCACCATTTCACATGGAAGAGGCAGGTGACATGCGAGTGCTGGAGAGGAACCCCGGACGCCACCATTTCACATGGAACAGGCAGGCGACATGGGAGTGCTGAGGAGGAACCCTGGACGCCACCATTTCACATGGAAGAGGCAGGCGACATGCGAGTGCTGTGGAGGAACCCTGGATGCCACCATTTCACATGAAGAGGCAGGCGACATGCGAGTTCTGTGGAGGAACCCTGGATGCCACCATTTCACATGGAAGAGGCAGGCGACATGCGAGTGCTGTGGAGGAACCCCGGACGCCACCATTTCACATGGAAGAGGCAGGCGACATGCGAGTGCTGTGGAGGAACCCCGGACGCCACCATTTCACATGGGAAGGCCGGCTTCCTCTTTGCTAATGAATGAGATAATTACAACAGAATCAAGCCAACCCCAGAAAGCGCAGCGCCTGGGCAGAAGAAATGGGATGTTCACTGGGTGGCAGTATTGGGAACTGAGGTAGAAATAGAGCATTCCAGATTTGCAATAATACAGGTTCTTTCCTTTACGTCATTTCCGTATATCCTAAAAAGAGGAGCAGGAGGGCACATACTAGGTCTAAGCTTCCATCTCTACTCCTAAAGGAATACTACTAGCTGAGGTAGTCCATACTCCCAGCAGAATTTGAGCTCATAGGAAGAGAGAAAAAAATATATCTGAGGAGGAGTACTAGCCCTTTAAAAGAAAAATAGATACTGAAGAATCTTATCAGAGAGAGCTGAATTAATGGTCCAGATAAAACAAGAACTGGAAATAAAATAAATATCTTCAGAGAGCAGGAAAGGATATTGCAAATATGAAGCAGGAACAATCAGTGAAGACAAAGAATCAAATGAGGATGGGAATAAAACATATAATAGCAAAATGTATATAGACAAAGAATAAATCAGTAAGATAAAGAATCTGGTTGGAAAATTTTCCCCAAGTTTAAATAAAGGCATAAAAGATGGAAAATATCTAAGAACTAAAATAAAGAGAAACTAAAAGTGGAAAGGTCAATTTTGATTTACTACATAAAACTAAATAGAGTATAGAATTGTTTTCATTGTTGTTGAGATATAATTGAGAATTAAAGAAAGATAGAAAGTCAGATCAAAATGGCTCCATAAAACAACAGACCACATTGATAAGCAAAACCTCAAATCTTGACACATTACACTTAATTTAAAATAACAAAGGCAAAATTCTAAAAGCATCTGAATAAGAAATAATATTTCATTGTAAATTAAGATAATTAGCATCAAATTTTTGAATGGCAACACTAGAATATTAAAGTGACATTTGAAAAATATTGAAGAAAAATAAACTTAGACCTAGAGTTTTATATACAGATAAACTATTATTTAAACACTAGGTTGAATAAAAGGCATTTCAAGAGACACATAGAAGGCGAGGGCACATAAAATCTTACAGAAAACATTCTACAGGGAGTACTTCTACAGAGAAAACAAATAATTCCAAAAAGAAAGTTTAAGGTCAACCAAATAAGCAATGGCAAAAAAGAAATATTGTGTGTGATTATTTGTATATGTGTATAAGAGTGTCGTCCAATGGGCCTTTCTGTTTTGATGGAGATATTCTATTTGTACTGTTCAATATGATAGACCATAGCCATGTGTGGCTGTTGGATGAAAAGTATGGCTAGTGTGGCCAAGGAACTGAGTTTTAAATTTTATTTAACCTTAATAAATTTAAATTTGAATAGCCATGTGTGGTTAGTGGCTACTACATTGTACAGCAGAGCCCTGTACTAACACAGATGAAATGTTCCAGATTATACCAATATATGCTGAGGGTCAGGAACATGCAGAAATCAGAGGATTTGGACAGTATGTTCAGGTTCTTGTCTTTTACACAGGGAAGAAATAATAATGAGCTCTAAAAAATTAAGTCTGAAATTTAAGGTATTAGCAGAAACCAACTGAAGATAGACGTTAAAATTTGGCTTTCAAACCAGAAGAAAAAAAATTGCTCTCTTCAATAAAATGCAAGAATGGAGAAAAAATAAACAAGAAGAAAGGTTGATACATAGAAAATATGCAATAGGATGACAAGAATAAATCATAGTATGACAGTAATTTAAGTAAATGTAAATAGGTTAAACATGCACATCAAATCACAGAGACTCTCAGGAAATAAGATGCTGTAATACATTGTCTATTAGAGATATTTGAAACAAAAGAAAACAGCTAGTTGAAAATACATGAGACATCCATTTTTATTATCAATTTTAATAACAAAGAAATTATAAGTTGTTAAACTATGTAAGTAAAAGATATGAATACCATATATGTGTATATATACACATACATATGAAGAAAGGAGATGCTGGGCGCAGTGGCTCATGCCTGTAATCCCAACACTTTGGGAGAACAAGATGGGCAGATCACGAGGTCAGGAGATGGAGAACATCCTGGCTAACACAGTGAAACCCCATCTCTACTAAAAAATACAAAGTTAGCCAGGCGTGGTAGCGGGCGCCTGTAGTCCCAGCTACTCAGGAGGTTGAGGCAGGAGAATGGCGTGAACCCAGGAGGCGGAGCTTGCAGAGATAGCGCCACTGCACTCCAGCCTGGGCAACAGAGCAAGACTCCGTCTCAAAACAAACAAACAAACAAACGAACAAAAACAAGAAAGAGGAAATAAAAAAGAAAATGAAATGTATACATCCACCTCTATGATGAAGACAGATACATTCTGAGAAAAAGGTGCATAAATCAACAATTGCAGTTGGAGTTTTGGACACACTTTCAAGAAGAAAAACTGATCCAAAAGACAAAAAATAAAAAGCGGAAGGATTTAGACGGTTTGAAAAAAACTCTCTGATTGATAAGCTCAAACCCATAAATGCATATAGATTTTCACACTCCAAAACCTAGAATACACCTGCACATAGTAAATATTTATAAAGCCTCAAATTTTATGAAATCAAAAGCATAAAACATCAGAGATCAATAAACAAAAAGATACTTTTAAAGGATCTGCAGGTGACCTTGAATAACACAGGGATCAATGTATGATCAAAGTATATCATGAACAACAGAATGGCTAAAAATTGGAGAACTTAGATAAAATTGATGAATTTCTGGAGTTATATATAATACCAAAATTGTTACAGGATTAAGCAAAAACCTTGAATGAGACAATCATCAGGGAAATAATTAAAAGGTAATCAAAGACTTCTCCCCTAAAACAGCTTCAACACCAGATGGTTTTAAATGTGAGTTCTACCTAACTTTAGAGGAACAGATAATCTTGATCTTATACAAGAGAACTCTTCCAAATGCAATTAAATCTAATAATGTGTGAAAATTCGTAATAACGAATATATTTTTTCCAAGGAATATAATGGTATTTTAATAACAGATATTCTATTAAAGTAACAATCATACTCATTGGGAAAGCTGTAATTACTTAGTTTAGTTTAGTTTACTTATGGGCCAAGTAAATAACAACAAAAATCTGGCCACATCTCCATTAAGGCCTTGGAATCATCAATCCACATAATTAAAATGGAAAAGTTGTGTCATGAGGCACGACAGATACTACAAATTCACTCACTTAAAAATGGGAAAAGGAAAGAAAGATGTACCCTATTACTACAAATGCTTAACATAACATTGGAGGTATTTGTTAATGCAAGATAGTAAGAAAAAAATAAGATGCCTAAGGATCAGAAGGGTCACAAAAACAGTCTTATTTATTTACATGTAATAGGACCCTCTAAATAGAAAACCAAGTAAAATCAAAAGAAAATTTAGTAATGATAAAACTGAGGAAAGTTGTTTAATACAGGACAGACATCTAAAATCAATACCATTGGTTTATTATATTTTCAAAGTTGAAAATATAATTTATATTTTATATAAATATATAATTGTGAATAATGTCTTAATTTTCAACTTTGAAAATATAATAAAAATAAGACATTATTCTTAGTGACAACATTTCTAAAATTTCTCAGGAATTATTGTAACAAATAATCCAATCATTCCTACAATTTAGAGATTGGAAAAGGGACTAGGGTAAATCTAGTTAGTAGATTTTCAAAGAATTATTTTAGCAAAATTTAACTGAGCTTAGAACTTACAATAATATTTTCCTAAACCAATTTTCAACAATAATTCTAGATTTTTCTCAGTGTATCCAAGTTATAGTCAGTTAACATATGAGTTACTTAGAGTACAGCCCAAGTTTAACTTTCATAATAACACCTAATTAGTGCCAAATCGCACAGATAATGTGGTAGGCAGCCTCTGAAATGGTTTCCCACTGAACCCTCCTCGCTGTATTTACTACTTCCCGAAATCCTCTCCTTTTGACCATGGGCTGGACCTAGTGCCTAATGCATAGAATATGACAAAGGGGATAAGATGTCATTTCCAAGATGAGGTTACAAAGAGTTTGTGCTTTCCATCTTGCTGTCATTCTCTCTTACCCACTTGCTAGCTTCCTTGGTGGCAATTCAACGGCCATGCTATGAGCTGTGCTGTGGAGAGACCCACATGGCAAGGAAATGAAGGAGGCCAGTAGCCAGTGGGCAACTGAATCCTGCAACCATGTAAGTGAGTTTGAAAATATCTTCCCCAAGTCAAGTCTTCAGAGGAGACTGCAGCCCCTGCTGACACCTTGATTATAGCCTTGGCAGAGGCTTTAGGCAGACACTCAGCTAAGCCACGATCTGGATTCCTGACTCACGGAGATAATGCTTACTCTTTTGAGCTTCTAACTTTTGATGTAATTTGTTATATAGCAATAGATAACTAATATAGGCAAGTATCTGAAATAAAGTAGACAACTAGCTAAAGAGGAATGTTGGTGATTATGTGCCTCAAAATGAGAACTATGATTAACGTAGCTTACTTATGGGCCAAGTAAATAACGACAAATACAAGCCAAAAATCTGGCCACATTTCCATTAAGACCTTGGCATCATCAATCCACATAATCAAAATGGAAAAAGTTGTGTCATGAGGCATGACAGATACTTCAGATTCACTCACTTAAAACTCATTTTAGCTCATTCATCCTTGTTTTCCTGTACATGGTTCTGGAAAGCAAATGCTTGAATTTCCAGTCTGCCTTTCAGCTAACTGTGATCATGGACACAGGTCTGGATTAGAAAATGAAAGCAGAAGTTCCCAAGGAGAGTTTCATTTTCATATTAAAAATGAATTCTCCAGAAAAGGCATTTTACTTTCACCCCCTGCACATTCTTTCTGCTTGCAATGTGAAAGTGATATTTAGAAATGCAGGACATCTTGCAGTCATGAGCACAGAGGGGAAAGCTGTCTGCTAAGAATGGCACCATGGGAAGCTGGGAGCATCCTGCGCTCCTGGTGGCATTGTGCGGTGACGGACTAGTCTACACTCTTGTTAGTGTTGGGGATTTCTGCTATTCACAGCTGAGTATTTCCTAACTGAAACCAGTAGAATAATTTTGATTTTTGTATCTAAACTTTGTGGGAGAGCATAAATTCCATCAGATTACCTCAGTTAATAATGAGTAAAATGGGCAGGGCGTGGTGGCTCACGCCTGTAATCCCAGCACTCTGGGAGGCAGAGGCAGGCAGATCACTTGAGATCAGGAGTTCGAGACCAGACTGACCAACATAGCGAAACCCCATCGCTGCTAAAAATACAAAATTAGCTGGGCGTGGTGGCGCATACCTGCAATCCCAGCTACTAGGATGGCTGAGGCAGGAGAATCGCTTGAACGTGGGAGGCAGAGGTTGCAGTGAGCCGAGATGGCACCATTGCACTCCAGCCTGGGCAACAAGAGCGAAAGTCCGTCTCAAAAAAAAAAAAAAAAAAAGGTAAAATGAAGAGAATTTCAAGAAGGTCCATTTCAGGCACTATTTTTGTTTTAGCAGAAATTTAATGAAATAAAAAAGTGATGAGAAATTAATCAAGAGTATTCAAGATCTAAGTTTTCCTTTGGTGTTGGTTTACTTGTGGAAGATCCCGTGAATCTGGACTGAATTATACCTGATTCCAGTAAGTTTCAAACTCAACCCAGCTCAATCCAGGCATGTAATATCTCAAAAGGGCCCTCTTTTATTAGTGTTTAAGGTCAAGGATTTTTCCAGGGTTATTAAGTGGAATTTCTGTGACAACTTGAAATCTGGTATTAGAATGGGACTGATCTATGCAGTACGGTGAGTCCAGCTGTATTTTACTTCTTACACTTGGTTTCTGAGAAATATAAGTACGTTTTAAATTTAGGGCACCATTCAGCATCATCTAGGAAATACCACACTAATGGTGTGAGAGTTTACTAAATTTTCCTCTTTTACTCAGGGTACTTGGTAGCTAGCAATAGAAACCAACTTTGGCTGGTTTAATCATAAATAGATTTTATTGAAAGGATTTTGGGTAATTTACAGAATTGCCAGAAGAGCTGAAGAATCAGACATGGAAAATAGGCAGGCTCTATAGGAGGCAATGCATGGTGACCACAGCCAAACTTCCATCGGGGACAGTCTGGCGGGGTCTTTCTTGTGTCCTGGAATGATGACGGCCAGTGCAGGTCCTGAAGAATGCAGCTGCCGTGGACCCAGTCAGCACCTCTGGTCAACTGCCCTGGAATGAGAAAGCATCCTCACTGCCTCTAGAATGCAATTCTCCTCTAACCCTACTTCTTTGCTGAATTGCTCCACATTCAAAGATGTGGGCATCAGTGTCTGCCTGAATCTAGTAATGAAATTAAAGTTTAAAGCAATGAGAGGTAGACAAAACTGGGTACTTATTACGTTCCAAATACTTTCCAATTTATTCCCATATCTCTGGAATACATGTTTTTTAAAAGGGGTGATGTAAGAATGGGGAAAGCAAAATAATTAAGAAAAAATTATGAAAATAACTGGTTGATGGAATAATTGAACGGAATAAATGGAATAATGAAAGGATGTCAAAGACCTTCGTGCATTACGTGTATATAGCTCTGAAGTGTGTGTATATAACTCTGATGGATGTGTTGAGATTTGGCTCTGAGTGAGGGACTCTTGCAGGAAAAAGAAATAAACATGCACGTTAACTTGCTCTTCTACCCTGTCTTAGGCAATTCATCCAGATGAATTTTTAACTATCCCGTAGTGATGGGGCATCCAGGCCGTATTTTTTAAAATGTGCAATTAGAGTAAACAATTTAGAATCCTGTGCTCACCTTACACTAATAACTTTGCATCAAAATTTATGCAGTTTAGTGTGTTTGGCAAATGACTTGTGCCTTTAGTTTCACTTCCTCGCGGCATTTTCCCTTCCGTTTGGTTAATTATGATTTACTTCTGTTAGTTTCCAAGACCCCATTTCACCGAGTTCACATGGTGTTGTGAGTAATAACTTGACTGTTGTAATTGTCTTCCGGGATTAATCCTGTTTGTGTTGGAGGGTTACAAGCATTCTCACCAGAGGGGATGCTTTAGAAGTTTTGCATTATTCATGTGTAAGGCAAATTCACAAATGTTAAGAGTTGGAAAACAATGAAAACCAAAAATTTGGTCTAAAATCCTTTTTGGAGAACTGAGGAAGACAGATGGTCTGGAAGATTTTTAGTGTCAGATCTGAACTCTAATCAGTCAAGGAGAGAAACTTTCAGAACTGGGTGGTCAAAATGGCATCCTAGGAATTTTGACTTGCAGTCTTAAAGAAGACAGCCTAAAAGAAAAGGAAAAAACGTTCTCACCCTAGAGCATTTTTATGCAAAACGATGAAATTTATAGGAAAATTGGAAACAGTCAATTTCTGAGAATTATATACAGACGGTGAACTAACTGTGGCATAATCATTATTTGTGTTGATACTATTAAACGTTTTGGGGGAATCTGGTTTACTTGATTAAAACCAGGATTCTTTCTTTTCCCCAATGAGCAGATTATTTCCTGCGGATATATGTTCCTGCAGTCTTCGTTCATTGCACTGATAACAAGTGTAATTTCTTTATTGTCTGTGTTCTCTAGTTTGTAAGTTTCAGACAGGGGAGTTAGGTCTACCTTCTTCTTCTTGTTCCCCTCTTCCAGCACATATGTACGTGGCACATAGTAAATCTTTCATTATTTGTTGATCAGTTGCCTAACAGGAGCATGGAAGTAAATGAATTATATTTGGAACATTTCATCCTGAAGATACCCACCCAGAGGAGAAGGCAGGGTAAAATTCTAGTCAGCTCAGTCTTAGTTCTTGACTCTTCAAAACTCTTGTTAGTTTTGACTCAGTTCCAAGATTCTGCATCTGGTTTGTGATTGTCCTCTGC
Organism: Homo sapiens; assembly: GCF_000001405.40. Lineage (NCBI taxonomy): Eukaryota > Metazoa > Chordata > Mammalia > Primates > Hominidae > Homo > Homo sapiens. The sequence continues at coordinate 53,169 of NT_187542.1, forward strand.
AAATCCTTGGAAAGGACCAATCCTCGTGTAGAATAGACTTTCCATAAATATTTATTATGTGGATTTTGCTCATTGTTGACTGATCTGGGGGTCTTGGCTGCAATCTTTTCAAAAGAGTTTGGTGTGAATCTAGTTGACTGGAATCTGGGGTTACCCTGGGCAGACGTTAAGCCTATAATTGGTTTTAACAGAAATATATATATAGCATATATATGGCATATATATGTATATATAGCTATATATATATATAGCATATATATGGCATATATATGTATATATAGCTATATATATATAGCATATATATGGCATATATATGTATATATAGCTATATATATATATAGCATATATATGGCATATATATGTATATATAACTATATATATATAGCATATATATGGCATATATATAGCATATATATATAGCATATATATGGCATATATGTGTGTATATATATATAGCTATATATACATATATGTGTATATATAGCATATATATGTATATATAGCTATATATGTGTATATACAGCATATATATGTATATATACGTATATATACAGCTATATATATATATAGCTGGCATCCCTAGACGTGGCACAGTCTGTCTGAAACTAGAGCAAAGTTCCCTCCTCTGGCTACCCTAGGATGACATAGTCTTTCAAAGTAGGAATATGACAGTATTATATAAATATAACATATTTATTAGCAGTAAGGACTGTAACTTTTCTATATTGCCTACAAAGTTCAATTGAGTGATTATTCCCACGGATCTAGAGATATTTTTAAGGTATTATATAACAATATTGTTATTAGCTCTGACTATGCCATTATTTTTCTAGCTTCTAGGCTTCTGTGTTTACTGTTTTGTCTGAAATATTTTTCTCCTCTTCACCTCAACTCTTCCCCATCCCCACCCCCATAAAAAAACCCTGAGTTACATTCGTCTTCTCTAGGTTCCCATCCTATAAACCACCATTTACTTCCTCGTCATTATGTTTTGCACACACGTACTGCTGCCTGTCTGATTTCCTGCCTCCCTTCCTAGGCCATGCATAAACTGTGTGAGGGCGTGTACTACACCTGTCCTTTGTTCCGAGTACTGCTGCCATTTCTGCCATATAGTTGACAACATCTCTTTATTGGATGAAAAATGAATGAGTGCGTGAACATGTGGCCTAAACAGAGAATGTTTCCGTGTGAAGTTTCTGTACCAGCCAACTATCTTCTTAACAGCTTGGTAGAGTTGGGAAAGGGGCAATAGGAGAAATGCTGTCCCTGTTTCAGCTTCTGGGCCAGACCCTACGACTGACCCCATTGCTGCAATGGCCCCATCACCCGTGCTGTGGGTTTGTGTCATATACACAAGCCTTGTGAAAATACCACAGACCACTGTGAGGCCATTCAACAAAGAACAGATGGATTTCACCTTGAGTGTTGTTTTCCAAAGCACACGTGTTCCGGTGCCACTACGTTTCCCTTGCCCATCATGTGAGCCTCCTCCCTCCATCGTGCTCCTCTTTCTGCTTCCATCACATCAGGGGCCCTGAAGGCGACAGCACTGATTCCGTCCTCTTTGCTTGCCCAACACCTGGTCACAGATTTGGATGGAGGACAAATAAAGCATAATAGTGTTCTAAGAGCCTTTCCCCTAGCTTGGCAGTCAGCTTCTGACAAGGTCATCAGGTAGGGTGGGGAGGAGGGTGCAGGGGCAAAGGAGAAGCTCACCCCTTGCCTTTGGAGGGTTTGTTGAAAAAAAACATCAACTCGCAGTAAGGCAAATTAAGAAGAGGAAAGGCATACAAATTCATTCACCATGTGCTTGGGGAGAATCACAGAGTGATTCCCTAATTTCCCAATGGGGCCCACACACTTACATAAACTCCTTTCAGAGGAAGGGGAGAGAGAGAATATAGGTAATTCTGTTGAGGGGCATTAAATGACGACCAAGGAAACATGAGTGGGTACTTGAGAGAAGGAACGGCAGAGGGGAAGAGGCAGAGACTGATTTGTAAATGGTTGTCTTTGGAAGTTCAGTGAATCTGAGAGATGGGCATTATCTTGTAAAAAGATTGGGTGAGATCTGGTTACATTCTTCCGCTCCTTTCCTGAAATAGATCATGAGATAACAGGGGAAAAGGAAATATTCTTGAAAGAGAAAATGAGATAACAAGGAAAAAGCAATTCTTCTTCTGGTGGGTCCCTCTGGTCTTCATGAAGCTAGGGAAAAGTGTCTTCCAAGGCCTGTTGTTTTCTAAGGGTTTTAATTAAAAATATTCATTATCCCAGGGAGCCGTATTTTGGGGTGAAAAATCTCTTTCCTGAGGGGGCATACTCTGCAAGAGGGTGGTTGAGTCTCCTGATGGCATCGTTCTCAGAATTTGGGATTGTATGCTCAGAACCTTTGATGCATGTTTTGTAGGTTGTATAAAACCACACATCTGTCCTTTCCAGACCGAAATATCGAGTTCTCCACAATGATCCTCTGTGACACAAGTTACATTTGCAATAGAAACCTATCTTGTATATGAGAAATGCAATCCAGTATTGATTCGACACATCTGGGTTGAATTCCTGACTTGTCCACAGCCAGCGATATGCCCTTGGACAAGCTACTTTATCCCATTGAGACTCTGTTCTCACCTCTACGAGGAGAGTGTCAGAGGCATTTGGACCAGAGCGACTCCATCTTGAATAGGGGCTGGGTAAAATGATGCTGAGACCTAGTGGGCTGCATTCCCAGGAGTTAAGGCGTTCTTAGTCACAAGATGAGACATAGGTCAGCATAAAATACAGGTCATAAAGACCTTGCTGATAAAACAGGTTACAGTAAAGAAGCCAGCCAATACCCACCAAAACCAAGATGGTGAAAGAGTGACATCTGGTCCTCTTCACTGCTCATTATACGCTGATTATAAGGCATTAGCATGCTAAGAGACACTCCTGCCAGTGCCATGGCAGTTTACAAATGCCATGGCAACCAACGTCAGGAAGCTACCCTATGTGGTCTAAAAACCGGTCTAAAAAGGGCAGGAGCCCTCTGTTCTGGGGCAATTGCCCAGCCCTTTCCCGGAAAACTCATGAATAATCCACCCCTCATTTAGCATATCATCAAGAAATCGCCATAAAAATGCGTAGCCAGCAGTCCTCAGGGCTGCCCTGCTTAGGGAGTAGCCATTCTTTTATTCCTTGACCTCCTTAAACTTTCTTTCACTTTATGGACTGGCCCTGAAGTTATAATAAAATCACTGTTTCTTTTCACAACTGGAAGTTGAGATAAACCCGTAAGACCACATTTTAGTTCCCAGGCTAGCATCTTGAGCCCTGTGAGTCTGAGTTCTATTTTTCCCTCCAGTCTTAACTTTTATTGTATTATGGCAATTATGAATTATGAATATTTTGATAACATAATGCATGAATGCACGCTCTTGATACATACTTCAAACGGTAAGGAATTTTGTAAAGTTAAATGGAAGAGTTCTTCACTCAATATCCTTGGCCCAACAGACGTGCCTATGAACTCTGTGGCTTTTCCTCCCTCGTCCTGTTTCACCTCCGCTCCTGCTGTTGCCTCCCTCCTCCTCCCTGGCTCCTAAGTCTTTGAGTAACTCAGCGGCCTTTTGGTGATTGTTCCATTTAGGGGTAGATTCCTCAGAGAGGCCTTGTCCACCCAACGGGAGGAAGTCTGCCTGACCTTACTCCACGGTATTTTAAACCAGAGTATGCTGTTTGCATCCTTACTAAAACTATGCAGGATCATGACTGGCCAGGGCGGCTTGCACCTATAATCCCAGCACTTTGGGAGGCTGAGGCAGGAGGCTCACTTGAGGCCAGGAGTTTGAGACCAGCCTGGGAAACACAGTGAGACCCCATCTCTAAAAAAAGAAAGAAGAAAAAGAACTCTGTTGTAATTCTGTTTGTTTGCTTTGCTTCTTTCCACTGTCTGCCTTACATTCTTGCCTTCTGCATTGTAAGCATAAGAAGGCGGAGTGCAGGATATGCTTGTTCTATATACTGTTGTGGTCCTACTTTTCCTCATATTGCCTGAAGTAAATGTTGGTGGAAAAATTAATACACACACATACACAGATGCATATACAAATACATTTTACTCAGTGCCCCGTGTTATATATATAACTTTGTTTTGAACATAGTAAATCTTAGAGATCTTCCTATATTGGGACATTCAGTGACTGACTAGTATTGCACTGTGTGGAAATACCAATAATTTATTAAATCTTCTCATTGCAAATGGACAAATTAGGTTGTTTCCAATTTTTTATAATCATAAAGAATGAATCATTGACCATCTCAGTCTTGCCCAGACCTTATCTGGCCACCCATGCAGGTATTTTTGTAAGATAAATTCCTATAAGAGGAATGATTGAGTTGAAGGGATGACACAATTTTGATTTTGAGAGATAATCTCGAATTAACTTTAAAAGTTGATGTACCAAATTACATGTGAGCCAGCTGCAATTGTAAGAGTTCTTGTTTTGTAATTCTCAATATCAGCAGATATTATAAATCTTCAAGTTTTGTCAAGTTAAAGGGTAAAAATCCTAGCTATATCTCATTGTTCTAATTTGCATTTATGATTACTAACAAAGTTAAATATTTTAATGTGTTTATAGTCGTGTACTTTTCCTATGAATTGCCTTTCCTTGTACATTACCTTTTTTCATTCATTTTTTCTTAATGATTGCAGAAGCTTTAACCTTTTGATGTTTATTATTTGTCGTTATGTGCATTCCAAAGAATTTCTGCTGATCTGTTGTTTATGATTAACATTTTTGAATGGTATTCTTTCAAATGTAACTAATTTTTTAAGAGCTTTATTGAGATGTAATTGATATATGAAGAACTGCACTGTACTTGAACTCCTGAGCTCAAGTGATCCCCTGCCTTGGCAGCTCGGGTAGCTAGGAATACATGTGCACACTATGTCACCCAGGTCATTTTTAAATTTTTTGTACAGATGGGTTCTTCCTGTGTTGCCAGGCTGGTCTTGAACTCCTGGCCTCAAGCAATACTCCTGTCTCAGACTCCCAACACTATGGGATTACAGGTGTGAGCCAGTGCACCTGGATCAACTATGCATGTTTAATGTATACAATTTGATAAATTTGGGCATATGAAAACACCTGTGATATTATCAGCATAATCAAAGAAATAGACACTGTATTAGTTCATTTTCACACTGCTGATAAAGACATACCCGAGTCTGGGCAATTTACAAAAGAAAGAGGTTTAATGGACTTACAGTTCCACAGGGCTGGGGATGCCTCACAATCATGGTGGAAGGCAAGGAGGAGCAAGTCACATCTTACATAGATGGTGGCAGGCAAAGAGGGAGAGCTTATGTAGGGAAACTCCCCCTTATAAAACCATCAGATCTCCTGAGACTTATTCACTACCACAAGAACAGCATGGGAAAGACATGCCCCCATGATTCAGTTACCTCCCTCTGGGTCCCTCCCAGAACACGTAGGAATCCAAGATGAGATTTGGGTGGGGACATAGCCAAACCATGTAATTCCACCCAAGCTCCTCCCAAATCTCATGTCCTCACATTTCAAAGCCAATCATTCCTTCCCAACAGTTCCCCAAAGTCATAACTCATTTCAGCATTAACTCAAAAGTCCACAGTCCAAAGTCTCATTTGAGACAAGGCAAGTCCCTTCTGTCTATGAGCCTGTAACATCAAAAGCAAGTTAGTTACTTCCTAGATACAATGTGGGTACAGGCATTGGGTAAATACAGCCATTCCAAATGGGAAACATTGGCCAAAACAAAGGAGCTACAGGCCCCATACAAGTCCGAAATCCAGTGGGGCAGTCAAATCCTAAAGATCCAAAATGAGCTCCTTTGACCCATGTCTCACATTCAGGTCACGCTGATGCAAGAGGTGCATTCCCTGGCCTTGGGCAGCTCCACCCCTGTGGTTTTGCTGGATATAGCCCCTCTCCTGACTGCTTTCACAGGCTGGTATTGTCTGTGGCTTTTCCAGGGGCACAGTGCAAGCTGTTGGTGGATCTACCATTCTTGGGTCTGGAGAACAGTGGCCCTTGTTTCTTTTCTTTTCTTTTCTTTTCTTTTCTTTTCTTTTCTTTTCTTTTCTTTTCTTTTCTTTTCTTTTCCTTTCCTTTCCTTTTCTTCTCTCTCTCCTTCTCTCTCTCTCTCTCTCTCTCTCTCTCTCTCTCTCTCTCTCTCTCCCTCTCCCTTCCCTTCCCTTCCTTTCCCTTCCTTTCCTTTCCTTTCATTTTTTTTGACATGGAGTTTCACTCTTGTCATCCAGGCTGGAGTACAGTAGTGTGATTTTGGCTCACTGCAACCTCTGCCTCCTGGGTTCAAGAGATTCTCCTGCCTCAGCTTCCTGAGTAGCTGGGATTACAGGTGCCTGCCACCATGCTTGGCTAATTTTTTGTATTTTTAGTAGATACAGGGTTTTGCCATGTTGGGCAGGTTGGTCTCGAACTTCTGACCACAGGTGATCTGCCTGCCTTGGCCTTCCAAAGTGCTGTGATTACAGGTGTGAGCCACTGCACCTGGCTGAACAGTGGCCCTTTTTTCACAGCTCCATTAGGCAGTACTCCAGTAGGGACTCTGTGGGGGCTTCAACCCCACATTTCCCTTCTTCACTGCCCTAGCAGAGGTTCTCCATGAGGACCCCACCCCTGCAGCAAACTTCTGCCTGGACATTCAGGCATTTCCATACATTTTCTGAAATCTAGACAGAGGTTCCCAAACCTCAATCCTCGACTTCTGTGAACTTGCAGGCTCAACACCACATGGAAGCTGCCAAGGCTTGGGGTTTACATCCTCTGAAGCAACAGCTTGGGCTGTACCTTGGCTCTTTTTAGTCACAGCTGGAGTGGCTGGAATGCAGGGCACCAAGTCCATAGACTGCACACAGCAGAGGGACCCCGGCCCTGGCCCATGAAACCATTTTTTTCCTCCTAAACCTCTGGTCCTGTGATGGGAGGGGCTGCTTCAAAGGTCTCTAACATGCCCGGAAGACATTTTCCCCATGGTCTTGGGAATTAACATTAGGTTCCTAGTTACTTATGTAAATTTCTGCAGCCAGCTTGAATTTCTCCTCAGAAAATGGGATTTTCTTTTCTATTGCATTGTCAGGCTGCAAATTTTCCAAACTTTTATGCCCCTTTCCCCTTTTAAAACTGAATGCTTATAACAGCACACAAGTCACCTCTTAAATGCTTTGCTGCTTGGAAATTTCTTCTACCAGATACCCTAAATCATCTCTCTCAAGTTCAAAGTTCCACAAATCTCTAGGGCAGGGGCAAATTGCTGCCAGTCTCTTTGCTAAAATATAACAAGAGTTACCTTTGCTCCAGTTCCCAACAAGTTCCTCATCTCCATCTGAGACCACCTCAGCCTGGATTTCATTGTCTGTATCATTATCAGCCTTCTAGTCAAAGCCATTCAACAAGTCTCTAGGGAGTTCCAAACTGTCTCACAGTTTCCTGTCTTCTTCTGAGCCCTCCAAGGTGTTCTAACATCTGCCTGTTACCCAGTTGCAAAGTCGCTTCCACATTGTTGTCTATCGTTGCAGTAGCACCCCACTCTACTGGTACCAGTTTACTGCATTAGTCTGTTTTCACGCGGCTGATAAAGACATACCTGAGACTGGTCAATTTACAAAAGACAGAGGTTTAACGGACTTATAGTTACACAGGGCTGGGGAGGCCTCACAATCATAGCAGAAGGCAAGGAAGAGTAAGTCACATCTTATGTGGATGGCGAGAGGCAAAGAAAGAGCTTGTGCAGGGAAACTCCCCCTTATAAAACCATCAGCACTTGTGAGACTTATTCATTACGCTGAGAACAGCTTGGGAAAGACCTGCCCTCATGTTTCAATTACCTTCCACTGGGTCTCTCCCACAACACATAGGAATTTGAGATGAGATTTGGGTGGGGACACAGCCAAACCATATCAGACACCAACACCTTCTAATGTTTTCTTGTGTCCTTTCCCCTCATTGTTGTAGTAAGAACACTTAATGTGAGACCTCTTAACAAATTTTGGAATGCACCACATCATATTGCTAACTATAGGCAATATGTTGTAAGATAGATCTCTAGAATGTATTCAACTAGCATAACTAAAACTTTACACCAATTGAACAACAACTCCACATTTCCCCTACTCCTGAGTTTCTGGGAATGACTATTGTATTCTTTGATTCTATAATTTTGAGTATTTCACATCCCTCATATAAGTAGAATCATGCAATATTTGTCCTTCTGTAACTGGCTTATTTTATTTAACATTATGTCTTTTGGGTACATCCATGTTTTCACACATAGCAAGATTTTGTTGTTTTCGAAGGTTGAGTAATATTCAATTGTATTATACACCACATTTTCTTTATCCATTCATCTGTCAATGGACAATCTTTTATTGAACAATTTATTAGTTTTTAGTGGTCAAAGAACAAGATCATGTCCTTTATATGATTTATATGTTTTGGTTGTTATTTTAGAAGCCCTTCTCCATTTCAGTAGTATAAATATATGTATTTCTGACCTTTTTCTTCTTATACTGTTAGTTTTTCAGTATAACATTGAACTTTTAAAACACCTTGACTTTTTTTCTGAGTATGGTATGAATTAGGGATATTTGTTACTTTTTTCCCATATTAACAGTTATTCACCTAATTATACTTTATTCAGTTGGTCTAGACTTTTTCCTACATATTTGCCATCTTTATTATAATTTAAATCAGCATATACACTTGGATTTATTTTTGGTCTCTCTACATAGGGCTATGTATCTATTGTTTAATTCTTAGAGATTTATGTGGATATGTGGTAGGTATATGTCTTCACTCACTGCGCTTATTTTCAACATTTTTTTCCATTATATTTATTTGTTTTTCTCTTATAGATGAACCTGAGAATAATCTGTCAAGCTGCTGATAAAAATTCTTTATGAAGTTAAAGATTGCACAGAACTTACAAATTAAATTGGGAGAATTGAATTTCCTGTAATATTGAAGTTTCTCAACCAAAATATTGTTACCCATTTCTATTTTTCACTTTTTAAAAAATGTATGAAACAACATTTATAGCCTTTTTAAATAGAACTTCTACTCTTCTCATTAGGATTATTTCTCATTTTGTGTTTTTTTGCTGCTATTTTGAGTTTTTTTTTTCTCTATTTCATTCTAATTGATGGTTAGATGGTTAGTAGATGGTTAGAAAATTATTTATTTTTATATGATGATATTGAATCTAGCCACTTTGAACTCTTGTGCCATTTTATAAAAATTTGTTTTCTTAAGTATCTAGAAAAATAATGAAATAGTGTCTGAAAATAATAAATTTTGCCTCTGTTTTTCAATATTTTTACTTTTCTCCTCATTCTATTCTTATTAGTGATGAAATATATATATATGTATTCATTGTCTCTCATACAAAAAGTAGCCTTGACAATCTGAAAACAAAATAGATTTGCATTAAAATTGGAACCTAAAATGCAAGGATACTGAAAGTTAGGTCACTTTAACACCAATTGGTGCCTTTAAGATAGTATTAAAAATATACACATGGTATTTGCCAAATTTTGAATATAGGAGCATATTGTGCTTTGTACATACTTTAAAATAGCCACAGATGGCTGGGCGAGGTGGCTTTTGCTTGTAATCCCAGCACTTAAGGAGGCCTAGGTGGGCAGATCACCTGAGGTCAGGAGTTTGAGACCAGCCTGACCAACGTGGTGAAACCCCATCTCTACTAAAAATACAAAAATTAGCCGGGTGTGGTGGTGCATGCTTGTAATCCTAGCTACTCAGGAGGCTGAGGCACAAGAATCGTTTGAACCCAGGAGGTGGATGTTGCAGTGAGCCTAGATAGGGCTGTCAGCCTGAGTGACAGAGTGAGACTCTGTCTCAAACAAACAAATAAAAAAAGCCACAAATGCTAATAAAATAATACATTCCTAAAAGATACTGTTTAATAGTTTCTCCTAAAAGATACTGTTTAATAATTACTCCTATTATTCTAAGAACATTGGCATTAGAATTTAGAACATAATTAACAGACTCTTCTTCCAAAAATGTGTAACAATGAGAGGTAATAGTGAATGGCAAATGTACAGTGTGAATGAGAGGCAAGAGTACCAGGACAGACCTTGTTTAAATTATGTAATACATTTTAAAAATCCACAGAGAATAAACATGAGCTTAACTAAATAAAATGACTTCTGTTTGTTTAAATTTTTTGGCAGATAAAAATTAAGTGATACAATAGTCATTCTGGGTGGTGTGAGATGGTGGTATCTTATTGTGGTTTTGATTTGCATTTCTCTAATGATCAAAGATATTGAGCTTTTTTTCATATGCCTGTAGCTGCATGTATTTCTTCTTTTGAAAAGTGTCTGTTCATGTCCTTTGCCCACTCTTTAATGAGATTGTTTGTTTTTATTCTTGTAAATTTATTTAAGTTCCTTATAGATTCTGGATACAAGACCTTTGACAGATGCATAGTTTGCAAATATTTTCTCCCATTCTTTATGTCTGTTTACTCTACTGATAGTTTCTTTTGCTGTGCAGAAGCTCTTTAATTTGATGAGATCCCATTTTTCAATTTTTTGTTTTGTTGCAATTGCTTTTGGAGACTTCAATAACAGACGCTGCCAAGGTTGTGGAGAAAAGGGAACACTTATGCATTGTTAAGGGGAGTGTAAATTAGTTCAACCATTGTGGAAGCAGTGTGACAATTTCTCAAAGAGCTAAAAATAGAACTGCCATTCAACCCAGCAATCCCATTACTGGGTATGCACCCAAACGAATATACATTATTCTGTCACAAAGACACATGCATGCAGATGTCCATTGCAGCACCATTCACAATAACAAAGACATGGAATTGGTGTAAATGCCCATCTATGGTAGATTGGATGAAGAAAATGTGGTACATATACCCCGTGGAATACTATGCAGTCATAAAAAAGAACAAGATCGTGTTCTTTGCAGGAACATGGCTGGAGCTGGAGGCCATTATCCTTAGCAAACTAATGCAGGAACAGAAAACCAAATACTGCATGTTCTCACTTATAAATGGGAGCTAAATAGTAAGAACACCTGTACACCAAGAGGGGTACAACACACACTGGGACTTACCTGAGGGTCAGAATTGGGAGGAGGGAAAGGATCAGAAAAAACAACTATTGGGTACTGGGCTTAGTACCTGGGTGATGAAATAATCTGTACAACAAACCTTCATGATATGAGTTTACCTATATAACAAACCTGAACATATACCCCTGAACCTAAAATAAAAGTTATAAATAAATAAATAAAATAAAATTCAAGTGTATGAAACATTTATTATTATTATTATTACTATTTTTTAAAGAACCTGCTGGGAATGTATTGCAAGTGCGTTGTAACTGTAGTTCACCTACTTACCTTAACAATATTGAGGTTTTCTGACTAGTGAACATGGTATATCTTTCCATTTATCTAGGTTTTCTTTAATTTCTCTCAGCAAGTTTTGTAGTTTTCAGTGTACAGGTATTGTACATATTTTGTTTAACCATATGTAATTTATACTTTGTATGCTATTTCCAATTTTCATTAATAGCATATAAAAATATAATAGATTTTTAAATATTGACCACATATCTTGTGGCCTTGCTAAATTCATGTATTAGTCCATTTTTAAAAATAAATCCTATTCTTTTAATTTTTTTATAATTTCTTATAAATTCTATTTTTCCTGCATAGAAGATCTGTCCTCTGTTATTTCATCCTTTCCAAAAAAAAATTCAGTGATGTGATGTTGTCCATGTTGCTCTGAGGGCATCACTACGATGGAAAGCACATCCTCCCGATTTTCAACGTGGAGAGATGTCCCATGTAACCTATTCCTTGTGAAAGCAACCCAAAAGTCCTATAGACACTTGCTTTTGGATAAACACAGGAATGGAACCTTCTGCTGTTAAAGTTTGAAACTTATGTTTGTTTTATCTGAGTTCCTTCCTCAGGAAACTACCTTCAGGCCTCTCACAAAAAGCATCAAAGAACTGAACCCAGATCACCACACCGGTTGCCGGACCCCTCATTCACCAGGATCGCTTCCTTGCTCCTCCCGAGTTCCTGTTTTCTTATTCATTCTTACATTTCTTGGCTGCTATATAATCCCCTGGTTTTAATCAGTCAGGAAGATGGATTTGAGACTGCAGCATCTCCTCAGCTGCAGCACCCAATTAAAGCCTTCTCCCTTGGCAAGACTCATCGTCTCAGTGACTGGCTTTCTTTGCAGTGAGTGCAGGACTGAGACTGAACCCTTGGTGTTTTGGTAACAATTGTTCAACAATCATTTGTTGTGACCCTCATCTTTCCTTCTCTTTTAATTTTCTTGAGCTCATATTTTAATTTTTATTTATTACATGATATTCCAATTTAATTATATTGAATTAATAAGTTATTCTGTTGATGCCCTCCAGAATATTATCTCATGGTATTTATATCATTTCACTTAATGTCTCTTCATGAATTAGGACTCACAGCTTTGGAACTGCACTGAATGGTTTTGAGCTTGGACCATATATCATTCATTCATTTTTGGGAGTTCACTTTAGTGTGCCTCAGGGTGGGAATAATGCAACTTTAATTCATGATCTTTAAAGGAAGCCCTTTGGATCGTATATTGATGATAGGATGAAAGGATCTCAATAAAGCAGAACTTGTTTGAGATTAGGTCACATTTCATTTCAAAATTATTAGGTTGAAGTTGCTGATTTAGTGGGATATTGTATCGGTTGATGTTAAAATGATCTCGTGTGTTAGATTTTGATAGCATGGAGGAACAGAGATGGGCAATCATATCCTTCTGTATTTCCTTCTTGTGACAAGATATGACCATGGAAGCACTGATGTACTAAGGGAAATAGTGTTTCATCAACTGCACTGAGCTATCCAGAGTCAGGAAATATAATAAAAACCATTAATATTCCTTGCTAAAGGGATTTCTATTTATTTAACTGCTAACTCAGTTATTTTAGTAACATAATGGTTAAATCAGTAGAGGTTCTTTTCTGCAAATTATATTTGCAGGGAGTCAGTAAGATAGATTTTACCTTCTTGGGAAAATGAGTCATTGGGGAAATATCTGTAGGTCTTCTTTGGAAGAATATTCTAGAGACTATTGTGATCAAGCATCTACAAACTTGTGATAGATTTTGTTGAATCAATTTCAGTGTGAGATCTTTAGAGAAGAGTAGAAGAACTATTCTGTTAGGATAAAGATTTAATTTGATAGAGAGATCACAAAGAGCCACAATGTCAAAAGATTCAAGATAGTTTGCACCTAACTTAAAATTGGAACAGTAGTGTAAAATATAAAAACACTGTGCTTAATATGTTTCATATGCTTTCTATGTTAAATATATATATTTAATATGCTGAATATATAGGAGGTTCTATAAATAGTTTTCATTCTCAAATGAAATCTTACATTGTAAGATAGAAAAAAAGACGTAGGCCTCATTTGCATTTGAAAATAGAAATGAAGAAATGAGAAAATGAATAATTCTAGTATCAGACTGTGTTTCTTCTGCAATGGATAATTACTTTAAGAAAAACGAATTTTCATTTGAATTGGTGAAAAATTGATAACTTTTCCTCACTTTTTAAAATGTAAATAGAGTGGTTGGAAACTAAAAAAAAAATCAGTAAGATCAGCTTTCTCTGCACCTGTGTCAGCAAAACATAAGGAATTCTGAGGGGAAAAAGTGAAACGTTACTTAACATCATCTATTAAGGAACTTTTTCTCTTAAGTTCTTTAATAAGTTGCTGTTTAGATTGCAAGAGGATGTTTAATATCCAGAAGCATAACCCTGAAATCTCAAGACTTCGACTTACAATTGCCTACAAAAATATTCTAATTTACTGATTGTAATGTTTTCCATATACAATTAAGAAACAGTTTAGCACATTATTATTTTAATTTTGCATTCTTCAATGTAATTTTACATCACATTTATTGATTATAGACTTGTGTGTCTTTCTCATTATTTGGCTTCACAGTAGTTCCCTAGGATGCTTTGTCTGTAAAGCCACTTTAAAATGTCATCCACATCACAAATGTTACAAATCCTATTACACAGTTCACCCAAGATTCTGCACACGTTTTTCCAGTGTGCAATGTAGCAAAAATAACTGAAATACTGTATAGTGGATGGATTTGGCATGGAAGTCATCCCAAAGATCTGCTGGAGTATAACAGGGCTTCAGACTGGATCAAATAGGAATTCTCAGTATTTCAATAGAATAAAGGTAAATTCCACACAAGGCAGTTTTTCCCCTCCATATATAGTAAAGATTTAATGACAGTCTCTGGAAAGATTGTACTGGCAATGTTTCAAGTATCACATTGTCTTTTAGGGATTAATTGTTCCTAAATGTGATACGAACAAATTTCCTCAGAGCTCCTACGTCTTCTAAAGATAGCTGTAATATGTGCTATGCTTGACTGCAAGGATGCAAAATGACTTTTCCATATTCAACTGTCTCTTCGGCACTACTCAAATTTTAACGAGTAATGGATTTTTGTGACTAAAAAGGTAGTTGTATGTTGACTGGACGACAGTAAATGTTTCCATTCTAATTAGAGAATAGCAGAATGGGAAGTAACCATGGAAGTAATTTGACTGATTGATTGGTTTTTGCTTTATCAAGTATGTGAGATAATACATACAAAGCTTTGCTTAGGAACTCCTAATTTCAACATCTCCATCCCTGCCGCATATCCCATTCCGGATTCTGTTTCTCATCCTCTGTCTTCCCACCCCATTCCTGGATTTAAACTCTTTGAAATCAATTCTCCCTAAACACCTCTGAGATTGAGTGGAAAAGCCTAGAAGGCAGTAGATCCTTGAGATTGTGGCCTTGAGGGTTTGAGGGAGACAACACTTACCAAACTTGAATTTCCCTCAACTCTGGTTGGGTTCCTTGTTGGAGCTGCCCTTGTGCGGAAAGCCAGTGGATTAGAGTGCAGTGGGAATCGCAGGGAAACGCCTCTGAAGGCTTATCCATCACAGTGGTTCTCAAAGTGCGTTCTGATGGTCCTTTGAAGGTTTCTGAGTAGCTTTCAGGGGATCTGCAACTCAAAACAAGGCTTAGGGTGATACCAACATTATTTACCCTTTTCACTCATTTTATAGCAATGGCACAAAAGCAATGATGCATAAAACTGCTGGTGCCTTAGCACAGATCACGGTAGTGGCACCAAGCTGCAGTGCTGGTTACTGTATTCTTTATTGCTATACATGTGCGTTCAAATAAAACAAAACAAAACAAACAGAACAAAGCAATCTGCTAGCTTTGCTGAAGAATATTCTTGATGAAACAATAAGAATCATTAATTGTATTAATTTTGGTCTCGGAGTACACATCTAGAAGAAACGAGAAGTGTAAATAAAGCACTTCTGCTTACTGAATACAGTGGATGACCTAAGGAAAAGTCTCCAACCAACTGTTTGAGGACAAACTATCTTATTCAGACCAACTATGGTTATTCAGACTTGCTTATTTTGTAGACATTTCCTTGAAAATGAAGTGAGCTTTTCACCTGAAGTAAAATCACTAATAATGTGTGTTGCCAGCGAAAATTAGAATTTTGGAAAACTTGTGTCTGCCTCTGTGAAACTGACTGCTTCCTAATACAGATGTTTCTTATAAGATCAGTAGTAATATCAAAACGTGATTTTGTCTGTATTGATGAATGAAATGTGTCCATGTTTGGAAGATCTATATATTTCAGTAAACCAATATTTTCTTATAAGGTCAGTAGTAACATCAAAACGTGATTTTGTCTGTATTGATGAATGAAATCTGTCAATGTTTGGAAGATCTATATACTTCAGTAAACCAATATTTTCCACATGACCATGTATGATATTGCAGAAATCATGCCCCAGTAAAGAAGACCTGAGCCAGCCGTATGCTAGAGCAGCGGATTTTAATAGAACGGAGCACAAAGAATCATGGATATGGCTTCATATCCCACATCGCAGCTGTCTTTTAAAAACTGTGAATTGTCAAGTTTTGGTGTAGTAGTAAAGAACCATATCCACAGTTATCTGAAAAGGCAATTAAAATACTTCTCCTGGCTGGGCGTGGTGGCTCATGCCTTTAATCTCAGCACTTGGGAGGCCAAGGTGGGCAGATCACGAGGTCAGGAGATGGAGACCATCCTGGCCAACAAGGTGAAACCCCATCTCTACTAAAAATACAAAAATTAGCCGGGTGTGGTGGCGGGTGCCTGTAGCCCCAGCTACTCAGGAGGCTGAGGCAGGGGAATTGCTTGAACCCAGGAGGCAGCAGAAGTTTCAGTGAGCCAAGATTGGCCACTGCACTCCAGCCTGGGCGACAGAGCAAGACTCCGTCTCAACAACAACAACAACAACAACTTCTCACTTTTCCTCACACATAACTGTGTGAGAATGCTTTTGTTCATACACATTAAACAAAACTTTTCAAATTTTCCATTAGGCCAGACACTAAGGAGATTTGCGAAATGTAAAATAGTGCCACTCTTCTTATTCATTTCTTTTGAAAATATGGTTATTTTGCATGAGAATATATTATATGTATTAACATGTAATGCGTTACCATACTATTGTTTTTTTAAAATAAATAATAAATATGTATACATTTCTCAATTTTGAATATAATAAATATTGGTAGATATGATCCACATGAACAGAAGCCTTTGCCTTTGCAGTCTTCAGTATTTTTTAAGAACATATAGGGGAGATCCTTAGACTACATAGTTTAAGACCAGCTGCTTTAGAGAAATACTTCTGGAAAAAATTCTACAGCAAGTAAAAAACAAAAAACAATAAAAACCCAAACATCTCAATTTGCTATTCTGCAAAAAATAATTTTGTAGCCTTTTCATTATTTTTTGTAAATAAAATTTTGCAAGTTATTTGCCATAAGAATGAAGATATATATACCTTCTGATTCAGTTCTAAAAGATTCCTGTAATTATAATTGTGCTAGATAATATATAATAATAATTGGATTAATCAAATTGTCATGCCTCACAATTTTTAACTGAATTTTTTGGTGTCTATTAATTCTTTAAAAAATAAATGTATGCTATGTTATGACACCCACCTTGCATTCCACAACACCATTCCATTCTGTATTTCCAACAAGATGCTCAGCACTAAACAGCATAGAGTAGGGTGTCCCTCTAAGCCCTGGCCAGCGAGGAGGCCTGCTGAGAACTCACCTTGTGTGTGGGACGGTTGTTTGTTTTTTGCTTGTTTCTTTTGGAGCTCCAGATCCCTGTCTGTGCGTGAGTTCCCATCCGCCAGCTGCTGTGGGTGCTGACTGCACAGGGGCTGCAGCTGCAGCCTTGGAAGGACAGCCCTTGGTCTAGGGGAGCTGCCTTGTGCTGGAGGCGATGGTGCCGTTCCCAGTGACCCGCAGCCAATGGCTGATGGATGCAGGTATGAAAGGCCCCTGGCCTCCTTGGAGGACCTACTGTCGGTAAGACCTACCCTCTGGTGCCATTTTTATGCTCCACAGCTCTCCAAGCACCCGGCAGGGGCTGGATCACAACTCAAATCACACTCTGCCTGGCTTTTCCCCTTCCCTATTCTCTCCCCCACTTTCCCCCAGCTTCCTCCTGGGTGCAGTTCCTTAATAATAATCCTTCAGAGCCAGAGACAAGAATTTTTGTTCTGAATATCCCACCTTAGATGACTGAACTGAGACATAATTCCGTTTGTTCTTGGGGGTGAGGGATTTGGGCCAGCGGATGGGGCGTTTGAATGGGGACCAATGAGGGTGTGAACATTCCATTATAAACATCATTCTTTCCTTTTATATCCTTAACTAGGACTATACTTTTATAACCTAAACTTTTGTCATCATTGATGTGATAAGTGTAAGGAATTCATTGTAAATGTGAAGGCTTATACCTTTTTGAAAACTTGCACTGAAAGAGTGGTTCTCAACTGGGATGGTTTTATCCCCGCGGGGGGGACATTTGGCAATTTTTGATTGTCACAAATGGGGGAAGGGCTGTAGTGCATAAGGGCCGGGGATGCTGCTACACATCCTACTAAGTACAGACACAGCCCTCTAAAATGAAGAATTATCCAGCCCATAATATCAACAGTGCTAAGCCTAGGAAATCTGATTGAAAGTAAAAAAATTTTCCAATATAGTGTTCATTAATAATGGAGTGTAGCCTTTCCACAAAAACTATTTGTGTAACTCAAATGACAGAAATAAAGACATAATTATTTGTCCTCCTTAAAAGATATGATTGTATCTGTTTTCTTCTTGGTACATCTCATAAGGAGGGAAAAAAAACACTTCATGCTAGAAACTATTCAGCTTCATTGAGTTTCCCCGGAAATTGACAAGTGATGAAAGCAGAGCTGTTTGTGTTCGAGTTCCTGTTTATGTCAAATGAATTTGAATAAAACAACCAGAGCAGAAACTTGAAACAAGTACTCCTCCCATATGCTCATGTTTTCATTTAAGACAAAGTGTAAGAGAAAATGTTGAAAGGCAACAGCCTAATATTCTGGCCATAATATTCCTGGAATGTTATGGGGCCATTCTCACTCAGCACTTGGCATATTTTCACCTTTAGCAAAATCGTCTTTGTGCTTATGAGTAGTTTGTGAAATAACTGCATTAAGGACTTTTCTGTTCTGGTTTAAGTTAAAAAATGATTACTTTGAAGTATCACTATGTACTATATCTTAAAAGAATAAAACATTAATAGAAATCAATTAATTATCCTTTGACTTTGACCTGGAATGGCTACTGCTGAGTGCTGTGTATTGATCACAGAAATCTTGAACTTCTCTTTTAGTGTTGTTAGTGGGGCTACCGGCTATCGGGTGCATGTAGATATTAATTTTCTCTAACTCATTCTTGTCACAGTGATATTTCCATTGCATTCCATCCTGTTCGGCTCAAGGCATTTTCAGACTCTTTGAAAATAAAATCTTCTTTCTCTTCTCTATAAAATCTTATCTACTTCTAATTTTTTGTCTTTACTCCATACTATCCCCAAATCTGAGAGCAAAAATTCCTTTTGGTTTCCTGTTCATGAACATATTTGTGTATGAACTTTCTTTTACAGTAAAATAATTGGCAGTGTGCCTTTTGGCTCAAGTTTGTCTTTTGTTCTCCGGCTTTGTTATCTCTCTTGGCCCAAGTTCAAGCATCTCCTTCAGCATCTTCTGTGGTGTGTCCTGTCTTTGCAGGTAGGAACTCAAGGTGACTGGTTTTAAGCCAAATATTCTCACCAAAAGTAGAATTGACCCATAAATACTTTTGATTCTATTCTTTTTTTTTTTTTTTTTTTGAGACGGAGTCTGGCTCTGTCGCCCAGGCTGGAGTGCAGTGGTGCGATCTCGGCTCACTGCAAGCTCTGCCTCCCAGGTTCCCGCCATTCTCCTGCCTCAGCCTCCCGAGTAGCTGGGACTACAGGCGCCCCCCACCACGCCTGGCTAATTTTTTGTATTTTTAGTTAGACGAGGTTTCACCGTGTTAGCCAGGATGGTCTCGATCTCCTGACCTTGTGATCCGCCCGTCTCGGCCTCCCAGAGTGTTGGGATTACAGGCTTGAGCCACCGAGCCCGGCTGATTCTATTTTTAAAGAAGCTCTTCTTTAACTTCTCTCATTTACAGTGGACTACATATTTTGTAAGGGCTTCAGTAATGGATGAAGCATGAATATGTTCCAGACATTTTAAAGGGAAATATACTGAAAATCGAGTCGTGGTTGCATTTTTCTCCCCCTTCATAAATGGCAATAAATTTCTCAGTCTTGTTTGTCCAGTGAATTTGAAAAATTCGCCCAAAAAGTACAAATGGAATGATGGTCTATTTCATTGTTTTCAAAATTTTTTTTTTAAACAGAGATTTTTAAAATTTAATTTAATTTAAAGTTCCGGGGTACCTGTGCAGGTTTGTTACATAGGTAAACATGTGCCATGGTAGTTTGCTGCACCTACCAACCCATCACCTAGGTATGAAGCATGGCATGTATTAGCTATTTTTCCTGATGCTCTCCACCCGCCCCCCACCTAGTTCCTTCCCTGACAGGCCCCAGTGTGTGTTGTTCCCCTCCCTGTGTCCATGTGTTCTCACTGTTCAGCTCCCACTTATAAGTAAGAACTTGTGGTGTTTGGTTTTCTGTTCCTGAGTTAGTCTGCTGAAGGTAATGGCTTCCAGCTCCATCCATGTGTCTGCAAAGGACATGATCTCATTCCTTATAGCTGCATAGTATTCTATGGTGTATATGTACCACATTTTCTTTATCCAGTCTATCATTGTTGGGCATTTGGGTTGATTCCATGTCTTTGCAACTGTGAATAGTGCTGCAATGAACATGTATGTATGTATGTGTGCAAGTATCTTTATAACACAATGATTTATATTCCTTGAGTATATACCCAGTAATGGGATTTGTGGATCAAATGGTGTTTCTGGTTCTAAATCTTTGAGGAATCACTAAACTGTCTTCCATAATGGTTGAACTAATTTGCATTCCCACCAACGGTGTAAAAGCATTCCTATTTCTCTGTAATCTTGCCAGCATCTGTTGTTTCTTGACTTTTTAAATAATCACCATTCTGACTGGCATAAGATGGTATCTCATTGTGGTTTTGATTTGCATTTCTCTGGTGATCAGTGATTTTGAGCTTTCTTTCATATGTTTGTTAGCTGCATGTATGTCTTCTTTTTAGAAATGTCTGTTCATGTCCTTGGCCCACTTTTTAGTGGGGTTTTTTTTGTTTGTTTGTTTGTTTGTTTTTTGAGATGGAGTCTTGCTCTGTCACCCAGGCTGGAGTGCAGTGGCACAATCTTGGCTCACTGCAACCTCCACCTCCTGGGTTCAAGCAATTCTTCTGCCCCAGCCTCCTGAGTAGCTGGGACTACAGGTGTGCACTACCATGCCTGGCTAATTTTTGTATTTTCAGTAGAGACGGGGTTTCGCAATATTGGCCAGGCTGGTCTCGAACTCCTGACCTCATGATCCGCCCACCTCAGCTTCCCAAAGGGCTGGGATTACAGGTGTGAACCACTGTACTCGGCCACGGTTGTTTGTTTCTTTCTTGTAGATTTGCTTTAATTCCTTGTAGATTCTGGACATTAGACCTTTGTCAGATGGATAGGCTGCAGTAATTTTCTCACATTCTGTAGGTTGTCTGTTCAATCTGATGATAGCTTCTTTTGCTGTGCAGAAGCTCTTTAGTTTAATTAGATTTCATTTGTCAATTTTTGCTTTTGTTGCAATTGCTTTTGGTGATTTCATCATAAAATCCTTGCCTATGCTTATGTCCTGAATGGTATTGCCTAGATTTTCTTCTAGGGTTTTTACAGTTTTGGGTTTTACATTTCAGTCTTTAATCCATCTTGAGTTAATTTTTTGTATAAGGTGTAAGGAAGGAGTCTAGTTTCAATTTTCTGCATATGGCTAGCCAGTTCTCCCAGCACCATTTATTAAATAGGGAATCCTTTCTCCATTGCTTGTTTTTGTTAGACTTGTTGAAGATCAGCTGGTTGTAGATGTGTGGTTTCATTTCTGAGTTCTTTGTCCTGTTCCATTGGTCTATGTGCCTGTTTTTGTACCAGTACAATGCTGTTTTTCTTACTATAGCCAGAGGTACAAGGAGAAGTTGGTACCATTTCTTCTGAAACTATTCCAAACAATTGAAAATGAGGGACTCCTCGCTAACTCATTTTAAGAGGCAAGCATCATACTCATACCAAAACCTGGCAGAGATACAACAACAACAAAAGTTTCAGGCCAATATCTCTGATGAACATCGATGCAAAAATCCTCAATAAAATACTGGCAAACAGAATCCAGCAGCACATCAAAAAGCTTATCCACCACAATCAAGTCGGCTTCATCCCCAGGATGCAAATCTGGTCCAACATACACAAATCAATAAGTGTAATTCATCACATAAACAGAACTAAAGACAAAAAACACATAATTATCTCAATAGATGGAGAAAAGGCCTTCAATAAAATTCAACATCCCTTTATATTAAAAACTCTCAATAAACTAGGTATTAAAGGATCATATCTCAAAATAATAAGAGCCATTTATGAGAAACCCACAGCCAATACTAATATCATACTGAATGGACAAATGCTGGAAGCATTCCCCTGGAAAACTGGCACAAGACAAGGATGCCCTCTCTCACCATTCTTATTCAACATAGTATTGGAAGCTCTGGCCGGGGCAATCAGGCAAGAGAAAGAAATAGAGGGTATGCAAAGAGGAAGAGAGGAAGTCAAACTGTCTTTGTTTGAAGATGACATGATCCTATACCTAGAAAACTCCTATCATCTCAGGCCAAAAGCTTCTTAAGCTGATAAGCAACTTCAGCAAAGGCTCAGGATACAAAATCAATGTGCAGAAATCGCAAGCCTTCCTATACACTGACAACAGACAAGCAGAGAGCCAAATCATGAATGAACTCCCATTCACAATTGCCACAAAGAGAATAAAATACCTAGGAATACAGCTAACAAGGGAAGTGAAGGACCTCTTCAAGGAGAACCACGCTGCTCATGGAAATCAGAGAGGACGCAAGCAGATGGGAAAACATTCCATGCTCATGGATAGGAAGAATCAATATTGTGAAAATGGCCATACTGCCCAAAGTAATTTATAGATTCAATGCTATTCTCATTAAACTACCATTGACATTCTTCACAGGAGTAGAAAAAACTGTTTGGAAATTCTTATGGAACCAAAAAAGAGCTCGCATAACAAGGGCAATCCTAAGCAAAAAGAACGAAGCTGGATATGTCATAGTACCCAGCTTCAAACTAAGACAGATTATGTCATACTACCCAGCTTCAAACTAAGACGGATTATGTCATACTACCCAACTTCAAACTAAGACAGATTTGCAGCTTGAAATGTTTACAACCTAATGCTGCCAATCCTTAATGTCTTAAATACAATGAATTTTTGTAGTGCTTTTCGAGTTCACAATTCGAAATGATATAAAACTGGATTACAGACAATTACATTTCCCATATTATTTAAAATATGCACTGGTGCTACAAAATTTTTCTATAATGATCATTATATATATGTAATATTATATAAGTGTGAAAGTATAATATTATGTATGTCATATATAATATATAACCATAAAAGTAGATTTTACATTTATGATTAGCTAAAAAATTTTGAGACAGAAACTCTGCGTTTTGCATATTATGTATTCTCTTGTCTTTCCTAATCCCTAGTAAAAAATAAACTTTACTATGTAAAAATCTGTTAATTTGAAGTCAAAGCATGGCTGTATTTTCAGTTAGTTTTTTAAAAAAATGTTTTTTTTCTGTAGCAAATTGTTGACTTGGATATTGCTTATTTTGAGGTTCTTCCTCTTTCCCCTCCTGTGCCCTCCAATTCAGTGTAACTGCTACCTCTCTAAGTGTCAAAGACAAATGATGGATGGTTGTTCAGCTTCTTTGAAATGCAGCATGTTTTAGTGCCTTTTTACCCTTGACTTTCATCACTAGTATTGATTGATGGTATGTTATTTACCTGGCATTGAAGGACTACTGGTTTATAACATTCAAGGCAAAACATTTTAAGTAGTATGCAATGCGGAGATTTCTTTCTACTGGGCAAGGTTAATGACCTACCAAAAGAGGAGGGGTCGGTGTATGCTGGGAATAATTGATATCTTCTGAAGCCAAGATTGACTTGTGGGGTAATTTTCATATCCTTGTGATAATTAAGTTAGTAGATTTTCATCTTTTTAATTGCCCTCAATTTCTTCAGAAGGGGGATTTAGGATGATTAGCCTTTTATGGTCAACTTGCTGAAAAATACCTATACAAAGCTTGTATTTAGAAACTAGAGTCCTTTTTTTCTTCTCTTGTTTAGGTGATGTCGTCCCACAATAACACTTACTCGACATTTATGTAGGGGAGGTAATTCTTTTGGTTGTACTGCAGAGACCAAGAATACATTTTGTACTTCATTTACATTCCCCAGAATACTTAATATAATGTTGATGACATGGTAAGAACACAATATCTCAGTATTTTGTGGCTGAGTGAATGACAATGCATAACCTTAATTCTAATTTGGTGTCAATCTCATTTTTTAAACTTTCTGTTTTCAGAAAATGAGAAAGGGCAGCAAAGATTTTGTTGAAATATGATTTTCAGAATCTTGAATTTACAAGTGTTTGTTTGTTTTTGATTATACCATGGTTATACTATAGATGATAGAGGGATGATTTTGAATCAAAAAGAAAAAAAAGAAAATATATGTATGGAGGCTGAAGTCATAGACAATTTTTGATGGGATAAATGTTGCCAATAATTTTTCCATTAGGCTTTAGTTTGTGTGTTCAGCATTTGAATTTTTTTTAGTTCATTTTCAGGTCACATTTTAGTTTTATGTTTCTTAAAATAACAAATTAATGGAGCATTAAAACATCAAACAGTTTTGAATCTTTCAAGTATTGAAAACACATTATGCTGAAATTTTTGAAAGTAAAAACAGTATGAAGGCCAGGATTTCCAGAAGATTGACATAAATGAGTGGGATATCATCTGTTAACTTTTAAATAAACTTCAGATTGATTTGTGTCTGGGAAGAAGACCCTTTTCTATGCAGGCTGGAAGGGGGATTTGCTGGCATTCCCGAGTGGTTACAACTTTGTGGAGTTAATATTTAATGTGCCATTTTATAGCATATACAGATTTAGAAGCTGAAAAGATACTAAGACAATATAATATGAATTTATCATCAATTTCATAGCATGAAACTGAAGAAACTACTTTTTGTACTGTTTTAAGGAAATCCTATCATCATATGGTGACTGTACAACATTAAAGCAACATTCTGGAAAGAAATTGCCAGGTATGTAGTCACAGGTTCAAAGAATGACTGGAAACTGAGGAACTTTCACATAGTGTATAGGAATTTATAACAAGTTCTGACAGCATTGTTAACTGATTAAAAATACCTAATAAGGCTGCTGGATTTGTTAATGAGTACTTTTAAGGCAAAATTGGCAATAAAACAATAGCATTTGTTTAAACAGAAAAAAAAATTCCCCTGCATTCCTTCTTTTGAAAGGAAACAGCCGCGTTATGGGAGTTCTCATAGTTATATGTTGAAACAGGGCAGCTTTTCAAAAACTGTCAAGTTTAGTGTTTCAAAGGCATGTTGAAGAATGAAGACGGGGGTGTGTGTAAATAAATGTGCTGATTGCATAAAGGCTGCTTCTAGTTTTGCTCAAGTGATTTTAGAGCTTCTGAAGGAGCAGTTTTCAACCTTAAATATCTAAGTCAACACTTTTTCTTTAGTAAGAGAGGTGACCTTAGAAATGTCCTTGGTCTAAGTGAAAATACTGGCCAATTCAAGACACAGCAATGTAGATCAATCCTTATTCTTTAACTTTCTGAACAAAAGTTTAAAAACATTCCAAATTTATTTTCATTGATGGAAGAGATTCCTGTTTATATTTTGTTATTTTTAAAATAAATGAAAATGAGGTTATCAGTCAAAGGTGGTTTGAAAAAACTTCTACTCCATTTCCAGCGTGATGTCAGGGAACCCGACAGCAGTCACAGGCACTCTGCTTTCACACTAATAATTTGTGATCTAATCGGTAAAATTAGATCAGTATGCAAAACTATTAGATGAGTTAATAGTCAAATGGTAGAGTTTTAAAGACTCCTAGATCCGGTGGTTCTATTTTGTTACACGTCTTCTAGGAAGCTTAGAAGATTGCTTTGTTTGGTTGATTCACTACCTGCTGCATCTTTAGCCTTGACTTAATAATGAAGTAAAAATAATAAAACAAAAGACAGTAACAAAGTCAACAGAAAATCCTCTCTCCCAAATAAACCCAACAACAACAACAAAAAACAAAGTACTCAGACAAATAGCTGGGGGAGATTTTTAGAAATTGAGAGTTTTTTGAACATGTAATTAAATTTAATTTAGTTTTTAAAAAACCTTTTAAAACACTTCAATGGGCAGGGCCTTTTTTAATTGAGGTGAAATTCACATAACATAAAATTAACTATTTTGATGTGTACAAATGTATTCACAATGTTGTGGAACCATAACCTTTACCCAGTTCCAGAACATTTTCATCAACCCAAAGGGGATCCTTTTCATCAACCACTAATCTGTTTTCTGTCTCTGTGGATTTTCCTACTCCAGACATTTAGAATCATACAATATATGACTTTTTATGTTTGCTTCCTTTCACTTAACATAATGTTTTCAAGGTTCAGCCTTGTTATAGCATGTGTGAGTACTTCATTACTTTTTGCAGGTGAATCATTCCATTGGGTAGATATACCACATTTTGTTTATCCATCCATTCACTGATGTAAATTTATTGATTTTTCACCTTTTGGTTATTTGTTAATAGTGCTAATATGAACATTGGTGTACAGATATGTGTTTGAATACCTGTTTTCAAGTCTTTGGGCTACATAAATAAGAATGGAATTGCTGGGTAATCTAATAGTTCCATGTTAACTTTTCGGGGCAAAGCCAAAGTAGTATTCATGGTGGCTGCATCTTTTATATTGTAGCAATACACAAGGCTTCCAATTTCTCAACATCCTCACCAGCACTTGTTATTTCAGTTTTTTAAAAAATTATAGCCACCTTAGTGGATGTGATATGGTATCTCATTATGGTTTCAATTTGCATTTCCCTAGTGACTAATGATTTTGAACATCTTTTCATGTGCTTGTTGACCATTTGTGTACCTTCTTAGGATAAATGTCTGCTCACTTCCTTTTCCAATCTTTAAATTGCATTGTTTGTCTGTTTGTTGTTGAACTGTGGTGCTTTAAATATATCTATCTATCTATCTATATACATATTATATTTATATATATACATAGAGAGAGAGAATTTTCTACATACAAGATTATGTCTTCTGTAAATACAGATAGTTTTACTTCTTCCTTTTCAATTAAAATACCCTTTATTTCTTTTTCTTGGCTAATTGCCCTTGCTTGAACTTCCTGTATAATGCTGGATAAAAGTGGTGAAAGTAGCATCCTTGTCTTATTACTGATCTTGGAGGGAATGCTTTCAGTCTTTCACCGTTGAGTATATTTTAGCCATGGGTTTTTCATAAATATACTTTATTATGTTGAGGATGTTCCATTTTCTTCCTGGTTTATCATGTGTTTTTACCATGAAAGCATGTTGTATATTTTCAAATGTTGTTTCAGCTTCACTTGAGATGATTTTGTGTTCCCTCCTTCATTCTATTAATGTGGTGTATTATATTCGTTGTATATGTTGAACCACCCTTGCATTCTTGGGATAAATCCCAACTGATCATGATGTATAATTCTTTTAACATGCTACTTCATTTGGTTTGCTAGTCTTTTGTTGCAGATTTTTGCATTTATATTTAGTAGGGATATCTATCTATAGTTTTCTTTTCTTATGTGCTGCCTTTGGCTTTGGTGTCAGGGTAATTCTGGCCTCATAGCTTGATTTAAGAGGTGTTATTTTCTTTTCTAATTTTCTGGAAGAGTTTAAGAAAGATTGGTGTTACTTCTTTTTTAAATGCTTCATAGTATTTAGGGTGAAACCATCTTTAGTACTTTACTTTTTAAAAATGGTAACTATGGACAGTTAAACCTAAAGTATCAGAATTCAAATGGAAATGTTTTAAATTTGGCAATAACAAAAAATTATAAGTTCAAAACATATCTGCCCAAACAATGACTAATACCACTTCCAAAATTATCTACTTAATAGATAGTGAAGGGATATAACATTGTTTTTATATTATTTCAAGATGGGGCAAAAGTTAACTTCTGTTAAGTAAAGTCTACACCTATACAAAATGTTGCTCAATATGTTCTTGTGTTTGATAGCATGGTAGGGTGAATATATTGAACAATATATTGTATTTTTCAAAATAGCTAGAAGAGAAGATTTGAAATGTTACTGACAGAAAGAAATGATAAGTGTTTGAGGTGATGGACATCCTAAATACCCTGACCTGATCATTACACACTCCGTGCATGTATCAAAATATGTACCCCATCAATATGTGTAAGTATTATGTATCAGTAAAGAATAAAATATGTTGAAAAATGGAGACAATTACCCAAATAAATAGGAATATGATTGAGACATGGGTTGGTATTCTAATGTATTCAGACTATTATCTTAATTCTCCATTTTACTTTACCCATATAAAAATAATCTCAGTTACTCTTAGTTGGAAATTTGTTTCAACTAGAAATAGAGGAATATCTCCAAATAATTTTACAACTTTATTTTCTCTCTTAGACTCATTGTTTTTTCCACAACATCAGGTTAATGGTTTAAAAAGCTTTGCACAACTTCTGTTTGGTTAAGATTTTTTATTTTATATACATAGACACACACACATATCTATTAGTCGATCATTCAGATATACAACTAACTAGATTTAAAAATAGTAAGCCATGGTTTATACATCACATATAAATGACCTAGATACCAGTAGTGACATTATCATCATGAATATTAGTTCCAGAAAGTATAGATCAGAGAATATTTGGGAAGAGAGATCCAAAACAATGTCTGACAAGTTTTTGAGGAATGGGGAATGATGATGAACAGTCATGAAAATAACAGAATTAAATTCCAATTTGTTTTTCAGTAGAAATGATGTTAATGTTTAGATGGCTCCTGTCAGCATTAAATACACAGTTAAGTACAGACCTTCAGAGGCAGGGAGTTGGTGATTTTTCTACCTCTTGAAATAAGTATACCATACAAAAAGCGCTATTTTGCCTGCTTGAAATTTCAGAAAGGTAAACACTCTGAATTGGCTTAGTGCTTGGGCTATTGGCAGACCTTTCACAAGAAAAAGTTTTTAGGCAGCGTCTATGTGAATCATACCAGCTTTTCTCAAGATAAGGGATTCATATTAGAAGGCTTGACTCACTCTGACATTTTATATGACTTTCTATTATTGAAACAACTCTAAAGGTCTTTTGAGCATTCTATTCACAGTGTTACCTAATAATAACATATATTAGCTTCTGGAGTTTAAGCAGCTTATAGGCAGAGTTCACATAATCACTTTGAACGCCTGGCATCTACGCAGCAAGTGTGCAATAAATATTTATTGAATAACTAATCTTACAATGAAGAAGCAGCATGAACTGGGAATTACTTTCCATTCCAGTTCTGAAGTTTAGACTCATTCTAAGAACTATGAATGCTTACATCTGTGACCTTAATGTACCTAGATTTCAGTTTTCTTGAATTGAGTTTGACGAGTGTATTTCTGAAGCCCCTTCTAGCTTCTAAATGTCATGACATGCGTTCAAGATGAGACTTGTGAGTATCTTTTCAACTAAACTCAGTTCTCCAGGTCTTTCACCACCTGTTGTAAAAGGTAAAGTTGAATGGACTTCTATCACTTGGATCTTATTTAACTTGAATTGCTAAAAATACACGTACAGCCACTGCTGAAATTAAACAGCATCTACAAATGCAGGCATTACTCTCAGACATTTTCTAAGTAGAATACATGGCCTCTACTCCCAGGGGGTTTATAATCTAGTGTAGAAAAAAGGAAATATATACAAAATGATGCAACTGACATGAGGGAATTTAGGGTGAGTTGGACAGTATTTTTAAATTTCTTTGCTGTGAGTCTAGATTTAGTTGAGACTTGAAATAAGTATACGTAGCAATGAAGAAGAAAATTATAAAAGCTTTAGAAAATAAGAAGCCCATGTAGAGAAGATTGAATAATTATTTGTTTTTAGGAGCATATTCAATATTTTCTGAATCCATGCTAAACCTTTCCTCTTCTTCTCTAAGCTTTCTCCAGATAAAATGTGGCACAGCCTCCGGGACAGTCTCCTCCAGACTCTGGTCATATTAATGGCCATAGAGAGTCAGAGCCACGATTTTTGTCTTACACCTCTTTTCTCTATGTACCCAATGTTTCCTTTTAATTGATTCACTGCTTAGATTTAAACAAATGTTTGTTAGAAGAAATTTAAATAGAAAACCCAATTCATTATATATAGACTGTAATTATAAAGATAAGTTCAATGAAAATAAAACAATCTTAAATTCTTCCTGTGTACTGTTGACTTACTGAAGCTTCTGTACCTGAAGCCTTCTCTCTCTCTTTTTTTTTTCAATTGAACCTTAGCACATGTCAGAGAGTTTATTAAAAATGGTAGTATTCCCAAGTGGAGACATCTTCCTTGAAGAATTCAGAAGAACTGAGAAGAGTTGAATGAGAATGGAAAGGGAATCACTCTATGGGGATAGTTCTATAAACCAGGTGGCTTTGTTTATGCATACTCCTTCTGAAAACACCATACTTCTCTACGGGGAGGCTGGAGGAAGCACTGTTAGTATTGTTTCCATGGTTTTGTTAGATGTCAAACTCAGAGACATTTTTTGAGTTAAGTGACTCACAGACTGAAGAAAAGTATGAGGACTTCAAGCCATCAAATTTTCTAAGTTATTGAGTATAATTGCAGTGGATTCCCTACCTGAAGCTGAGTCAACCAGGAAAATTGTACTGTCTAAATTCTTTTTCCTTTTCTCTTGTCACCCATGGTGAATTTTTCCAATGATATAATCAATTGATTTTTACCTTATGACAGTGGGAGAGGACAGGTAATAAATGTAGGAAAACCAGGAACCAAATATGATTTAACATACTTGGAGTTCACAGATAGCAGTGATAGAAAGTTGAACTTTAAAAGCAAAACTTAAAGAAATCCCTTTATTTTGTTAAAGAAAGAAAATATATACACTGGAGGATCATAAGTAAAATATTCCAAGTACAGTTACCAGCCCCAATGAGTGAGATCCATGCTTAGAGACAGTCGTGATTCTTATTTAACATTAATAACCACAAACTGTGCACCAGATGCTATGAACTCAAGTCCAAGGTAGATGATATAATCAATATCATCATCACTACAGAATATATTAAAATATTATTTTACTTTAGAAGTTGCCTTTCAAGTTAACTAGTATTTGAGCACTTTGTATACCAAAAAAATAAGGTAAAACAATAGTGAAGAATCCAAGATTATGGGACAAAACCCATCTTCAAGGAACTTATGATGTACGACAGTAATATCCTTTAGTGAAAAAGCATAGCCTCGTAAGAGATGCTTGCAGGGATTTAATAGAAGAAAGGAGCACACTGGAAAAGGAGGTGGCTTCATGAAGGAGCATTTTCTATGGAGCGTGAAGAAAGGGCAGGCTCTTGACAGGGAATTATATAGGGTGTAGGACACTTGGCTGGACATCTACGACAGCGAGACAGGTGGAAACAGCAGTGAGAAAGCGTGTTGGGTAGTTAGTGCAAAGCCCAGCTTTGTTGGAATAGAGGAGAACAGGAAGACCTGAGGCTGGGAAGAGACGCCAGGATGAAGAAAGATAAGCAAAGATTTGTGACTAGCACAGAAGAACTCGCCATTTGCAGAATTAAGTGTCACTCTAATGTCAAGGACAGGCGCAAACCATGGCTCTAACATTAGGCAAGATGCATAGTCTTTTAAGCATCATCACTGGCAGAGCTCCTAGATAGATACTCGTAATGATAATAGGTACCATGTGTTGAATGCATATCAAGTGCTGGGCATAGCACTGGGTGGCTTAGATACACTATACTTCTGTGACAGAGGCATCATCTTTATTTTCCCAGACCACAAAAAAAAAAGTAGAGCCTCTTAAGGAGCTGGAAGTCAAGGATAAATAATTTGTATCACTCTGGTACAAGTAGTCATTTTAGTTTATTACCTAGGTATCATCAAGGAAGAACGGGCTCATAAATGTTTTGCAGTTAACATGCAAAGTCCTAGAACATCTCCCACGTGAGATTCCTAAACAGTTCTTCCAATCTATAATATCTGGTAATGAAATGCAAATGACAATAAAAGGGCCCAGTTCCATTCGCAAGCCATAGTTCATAACAAATCACAAGGGTTTTCTATGGCAAGCAGCTTCTTGAGAATTGCAGTCACACTTGACATGGTCATCAGCCATTTTTCAAGATGCCACGTCTCAAGCGGGGCTATTAATCCCATTTCTTGCGTATTTCAATCTCATTTTACAATGTGAAATTGCTAGGAGACACACATTTATCAATATGTTCCATAATGTTGTTTGGCATGACTTCTTTCAGTACATCGTATTTTTTGTTACATGATCAATATGAGAGTCTTCTCTCCAGAAAAGGCAACTAATCTTGCTACCTAGTTTGAAGTGGATGGCTTAAACTATTTACAAAAATCCCCCTGGTTATTTTTCTTTCCCGAGTCTCTTTCCTTATCCTTAGGCCCCTTTATAAATAAGCTTGTTTCTTTGCAGTCTGTGGCTCCAAAACATGAATGATTATTGGAATATCAGATTTAGTTGGCAGCTGTTTATATTAATGTAACAAGGTGACATTGGTTTGGTCTAGAACTAGAAGTTATTGTTAGGAGAAACTGAAAAACTGTTCATTAAAAATTATAAGAAATGCTTTTGGTTTCTAAGAGAAGTCTGTTAATCAGGGTTCTCCAGAGAAACGGAACCAATAGAGAGAGAGAGAGAAAGAGAAAGAGAGAGAGAGAGAGAGAGAGAGAGAGAGAGTGTGTGTGTGTGTGTGTGTGTGTGTGTATCTTTGAGGGATATATTCCTCTTGTCCTGAAAAATCATTCCATAGTTATATGTAGAGAGATTCTGGTCTAGAATGGAGAAGTCTGAAGTTATGGCCCCAGAGGACTACACCGTCCTGCTCTACTATTGTTAAAGGCTGTCCCTGCAGGTTTTGTTTCCTTTGGAGAACTGCTTGTTTTCAAAATCTAAATTTATACTGCCATGAGTATTTTAATTATTGCTTGTCCTTGGAAGGTTTATATGTGGGTTGTCTGTGTAGGAAGTGTTTTGAGCCTTTGCTCATTGGAATTTGGGAGCCAAGGAAGGGACGTACACCATGGAGTGGCTTGGAGGTAGTTGAGGAGCTATGCAGACAGGGGAAGGAGAGTGGTGGTGCTGGGACTGTGCAGTCATTTTAAGTTATTCTGTGTGTTATGTTCCCCCATTATTATGGAAACTGTAGCAGATCCCCTTAGAAATAACAGCCCCATCTCTGATAGTCCATGGGAAAGCCATTCCCTCGACAAAATCACAGTGAGTACATGTTATGGACTGAATGCCTATGTACCCCCAAAATTCATATGTTGAAATCCTAACCCTAAAATTAATGGTATTAGGAGATGGGGTCTTAGTAGGTTTAGGTCATGAGAGTGGAGACCTCATGAATGGAATTCGTGCCCGTATAAGAAGAGACATGAGAACTTGCTTCCTCTGTTCTCTTTCCCATGAGAACACAGTGAGAAGACAGCCAGTCACCTGTAAACCAGAAAGCAGGCTCTTATCAGACGTGGGATCTGCCAGCACCTTGATCTTGGACTTCCCAGCCTCAAGGACTGTGAAAAATAAATGTTGTTTAACCTCCCAAGTCTATGGTAATTTGTTATAGCAGCTGGAACTAAGATGGTGTTGCCATGGTGATTACAAGTGGGGCAAATGAATTCATGCATTTAACAAATGTTTACTGAGCCTCTACTCTGTGCTAGATGCAGCAGAGAGGGAGCTTGGAATAAAATAGAGCAGGAAGTGCTAGCCAGAGCAGTTTGGCAAGAGAAAGAAATAAGAGGCCTCCAAATAAGAAGAGAAGAAATCAAACTATCTCCCTTTATTCATGACATGATTGTCTTCTTAGAAAACCCTACAGGCTCTGCCAAATGCTACTAGAACTGATAAATGATTTTAGCAAGGTTTTGGGATACAAAATCAATATATAAAAATCAGTAGCATTTCTATACACCGATAACAGCCAGGCTGAGCGTCAAATCAAGAATCCAATCCTATTTACAATAGCCACAAAGAAAATGAAATATCTAGGAATATAGCTAACCAAGGAGGTGAAACATCTCTGCAGGGAGAACTACAAAACACTGCTGAAAGAAATCAGAGATGATGCAAATAAATGGAAAAACATTTCATGCTCATGAACTGGAAGAATCAATGTTGTTAAATGACCGTACTACTCAAAGCAATTTACAGATTCAACACTATTCCTATCAAATGATCAATGTTGTTCTCCACAGAATTAGAAAAAACCATTCTAAAATTCATATGCAGCCAAAAGAGTTGAATAGTCAGAGAAATCCTAAGTAAAAAGAACAAAGCCAGAGACATTATACTACCTGACTTAAAACTATACTATAAGGCTACAGTAACCAAAACAGCATGATACTGGTACAAAAACAGACACATAGACTAAGGGAACAGGATAAAAAACTCAGAAATAAAGCCACACACCTACAGCCATCTGATCTTCAACAAGGCCAACAAAAATAAGCAATGGGGAAAGGGCTTTATATTCAATAAATGGTGATGAGACAACTGGCTAGCCATATGCAAAAGAATGAAACTAGTCCCTTGCCTTTTACCAATACAAAAAGATGGAGTGAAGATTTAAATGTAAGACCTCACACTATAAAAATCCTAGGAGAAAACCTGGGAAATACCTTTCTTGACATTGGCCTTGGCAAGGTATTTTTGGCTTAGTCCCCAAAAGCAATTGCAACAAAAACAAAAATTGACAAGTGGGAGCTAATTAAACGAAAGAGCTTCTGCACAGCCAAAGAAACTATCAACAGAGTAAACAGACATCCTACAAACTATGCAGCTAACAAAGGTCTAGTATCTGGAATCTATAAGGAACTTCAACAAATCAACAAGCAAAAAACAACCCAATTAAGCAAAGGAAATGAAAAGGCATTTCTCAAAAGAAGACATACAAGTGGCCAAGAAACATATAAAAAAATCCTCACTATCACTGATGATCAGAGAAATGCAAATTAAAACCACAATGAGATACCATCTCGTATCAGTCAGAATGGCTATTATTAAAAGGTCAAAAAATAACAGATGCTGGCGAGGCTACAGAGAAAAGGGAATGCTTATGTACTGTTGGCAGGAATGTAAATTAGTTCAACTACTGTCAAAGAAATCCATTTGGAGATTTCTCAAAGAACTTAAAACAGAACTACCATACGACCCAGCCATCCCATTACTGGGTATATCCCCATTGGAAAATAGATAAATATACCAAAGAGACACATACACTTGTATATTTATTGCCACACTATTTGCAATAGCAAAGACATAAAATCAACCTAGGTTCTCATCCCTGGTGAACAGGATAAAGAAAATATGGTACATATCCACCGTAGAAAACTACGCAGCCATAAAAAAAGAATGAAGTCATGTCCTTTGTAGCAACACGGTGCAGCTGCAGGCCACAACCCTAAGTAAATTAACATAGGAACAGACAACCAAATACCACATGTTCTCACTTATAAGTGGGAGCTAAACACTGAGCACACATGGACATAAACATAAGAAAAATAGACACCAGAGACTATTAGAGGGGAGAGGGAAGGAGCAAGTCATGGCTTGAAAAACCACCTATTGGGCACTATGCTCACTACCTGGGTGCAATATACCCATGTAACAAACCTGCATGTGTACCCCCTATAACTAGAATAAAAGTTGAAATTAAAAAATTAGAACAAAACAAAACAAGTACTTATCTTCATGAAGTTCTAATGAGGAGATATCAATGACAAATAAAGAAAAAATATGTAAAATAAATAACAAGTGCTGAAAAAGAAAAACAGAGTACAGGGGCTAGAGTTCTAGAGAGGTTCTATTATAGATGGAGTGATTTGGGTTGACTGGGATTAATCATCCCAGGATTACATTCCAAGTTCAGAGCTGTTTCTCTTATGCTACCATTCATCTCATTTGTAGTTGGGGAATTTAGTCAGATGGACAAATAATTGCATATCTTTTTTTAGGGAGAGCTCAACAATGTGACGCTGTTTATGTTGATGCTGTTGAAATAGTGTGTCAGCAAATCCCTGTCTTTTTCCCTGTTCAGTGTCCTTAACGGGGGAGGGGATGTTGAAACCTGATCCCTTCCAAGAGTCTAAGGTATAGCCATATAAGCCGGAGTCATATGAATTGGTAGTTGAATCTAATGCTTGTAGCAATATTCCTGTCATGAACAGAATACACTAAATTTGTCATTTATAGTTTTAACAATTCTTGAGTTATACTATTATATATGTAATAGGTCCTAGTTTGGTTTTATTTTACTTAAACTTACCTATGTACACACTTTTAAGAAGTAAATAATTCTATAAGGCTTGTTACAAAAAGCATCAGCTCCTGACTGCCCTACCTGCTTTCCTTTTGCTGGGAACAACCCCCTTTTAACTCTTAGCTAATTTTTTTTCTAGTTATTTATTACCATGCCTCTAATTAACAGGTTTATTTTGCTACTTCTTAATTTTTAACAGTTTTTTCAGTACTTCTTGACTTTTTTGGTTTTATGTGTTAACTACTGACTTCCCAAAATGAGAGCTGAGAATTTGACTCTCTTTGTAACCGCTTTCCCCTCCATCCCTCTTAATTCCTCATCCCAACATAAAGTAAGAGTAAGTGATTTTGGTTGGCCCACCCTTGGCCCACCCTGGGTATTTGAATATACTGTATTAGGACGGCGTAAACATTGTTAACACCTGAGCCAGGTCATATGTATGATTTTCTCATCCTTTTCTACACTCTTTAAAAAACCCACTTGAACTAGTAACTGTTTGCTTCTGTTCTTGGTTTAGATTTGTATGTTCTTATCGCTAATCTACTCTCAAATTCTCCTACCGTTC
Source organism: Homo sapiens (assembly GCF_000001405.40). Classification (NCBI taxonomy): domain Eukaryota; kingdom Metazoa; phylum Chordata; class Mammalia; order Primates; family Hominidae; genus Homo; species Homo sapiens. The sequence continues at coordinate 89,976 of NT_187542.1, forward strand.
CATTTGATAGCATCTTGCTTTTTTTGCAGGGTGCAATATCTTTCCTGCCCAGGTAAGCAGAGGACTGCAGGATGCTGCGACTAGGTTCCTTCTTTGAAGATCCCCAACTTCATTAGTCTTAGATTTTATTCTCCTTTCTAAGATTCCCCAGAAGACTCTCCTCCAATTCTGGCCTGGAGTATATAAACTGCCCATATCAGATGTGTTATTTTATTTAAAAATAATTTTTGAGTTCTTTTATTATTGCAAAAGTTCTGTTGGTAAAATAAAACTTTAGAAATGCAAAAAAAAGAAAACAGATATACATTTTTAATTCCACTATGAAAACAGAACAACAATTTAATTGCTTAATTTCTTCTGTTTAACAAAGAAAGTTGGAGTTGGCAATACAGTAGGCACTGAACACTTCTGATAAAGCATTAATGCAAAAATCAATGTCACATCAAATACATAAAGTGGTCAATATTTTTGTGTTAAAAGTAAAAAGCACATCTTAAACATTAACTTTGAAATAGATTGATGTGCAAATCTAAATTTGTTTTGCAAAGCCACTGTTTCAATGGAAAGCAATGCGTAGGAAGAGAAATCATGTGACAATGTATTCCACCCTAGTAATATGAAATGGATCAAGGAAGCAGAAGGTATATCTATTTAAGTTTGATTGATGGTTCAAGAGGATTTTGTAAGTGCTATTGTGGATGTAAAAGTTTTTCTAAGAAGTTGGGGAGATTATTTCAGGTAACCCTGACAGTTGTTCCCATCCTTCAAAGTCTAGAGTACTGCAATACCTTGCCGGTAGAGAAGACACTTTGCAGACGGCATTGGAGAAAAACTGTGCCCTTTACTCTCCCAGCGACTGAACAGATCTCAGTATTGCTATTAGAAAGAAATTAGTCATGAGCTATTGGCAAGTAATTGAGTAAGATGTCTGAGTATTTTTTTAAAAGTTTAGGTGGGTTGAAAACTCTCTGCAATAATCTTCCAGAGCACAATGCAGGGAAGGGACTGGCTGATATAAAGCTGCCTGTTATTAAATTATCCTGGGATGGGAAGCAAGCAATTATGGGGTTACCTGGGATGGTAGGGAGCAGAAAAGCAACAAATGCTGAGAAATTAGATGAAACAACAATTTAAAAAAAATGAATCTAAATCCAAGCCAAGTTATCTTGTAGACTGCTACTGACCAAGGATTTAGAAGAGAGCTTTTATTTATTTATTTATTTTTTGGGACAGAATCTTCCTCTGTCACCCAGGCTGAAGTGCAGTGGCACGATCTCGGCTCACTGCAATCTCTGCCTCCCGGGTTCAAGCAATTCTCGTGCCTCACCCTCCCAAGTAGCTAGGACTACAGGCACGTGCCACCACGCCTGGCTAATTTTTGTATTTTCAGTAGAGATGGGGTTTCACCATGTTGGCCAGGCTGGTCTCTAACTCCTGACCTCAGGTGATCCGCCTGCCTTGGCCTCCCAAAGTGCTGGGATTACAGGCGTGAGCCACCACGCCTGGCCTAGAAGAGAGCTTTTTGGAAAAATGCAAATAACAATGCTAATTGTCTCTGATTCTTTTAAATTGTTGGTAGGTGAATGTATCTATGCAAATGTGCATCGTATATAACTTTCAGTAAGCTGTTCATTGGATAACGGTGATTCAGCCTGAGTTATCTCAATTTGTTTTCTCTAATGTTACAACATTTCAGGTGGTACGGTTCATCTGGACCAGCCTCTGATGTGGGGAAGACCAAGCGAGAGCACACTGCGGAGAGTGAGTCCTGGTCGGTTTGGGTATGGCTCTCAGCAGACTGACCCACGAGGGCCAGCAGCTGCTGGATTTAATTCGCTGATTTTGTATGAACTGTAGATTTCCCTGGGAAATCTGCTATGCACACACAAGTGAGAAGGCAACCATGAGAAGGAGGCCAGGGCTGAGGCTCTGCAAGTGCACACGGCTCGTTGCAGAAAAGCACGCGCCTCCCAGCAGGACTGTTAGCCCAGAGAGGAAGCCTGCTGGGGTTTGAGCTCATTTGTGTTGTCAGTATCTCTTATCACAGCATCAGATTCAGTGTTTTCTTAAGGAACAAAACACAGGAAACGGCTTGCTGTCATTTTCTATTTCTCTAGTGAATCTCCTGTAACTGAAAGTCACAAACTTCTTTCTTTAAGACCTATGGCTTACCTTTCCAATAAGAAGTGAAAGGTCTAGGCTGTCAATATTTGAAATTGAGGGGCAAAAGGCAGCCTCTTTTCTATCATGAAGGAAAACATACAATGTGGAAAAGAGTTCGCTTTGGAGTGGATTTATCGTCATCTAAATTGAATGCATTGGTGAAGATTACGGAATTGATGTTTCCAAAATTCGTTGACATGTGCAGATGAAAATACAAAGGATTATTTTTAATATTATTATGTTATATTAAATAAACTTGCTGAGATTTTTTAAGTTTCAATGCCTTCGGCCTCCAGTAGAACAGTTGTGATTAAAACAACACATATGCTTCCCATTTGGCTGGTTATGGGAATATTTTGAAACAAGGAATATTTTAAAGTTAATTATACATGCATTTAATGCCCAGTTAAATTTTGAAAGTATTTAACAATTTGCAGTGGGAGGTAAAGTAAATGTCTAATTCTGCCGCTTTCTCTGTGGTTCAGTGAAGCATCTTCTTGGTCATTGCCCTAACTGAATCTGAGCTAGGATGTTCCATCACATTGACCTTGTTATAATTTTGAAACAGGAATTCCAGTAGGATAGAATTGTTCCATTCTGTTGCCCCTCTAACCACTCCAAGGTTTCTTGATGTATCTAGCTCATGACAGAAAAGACAAAAAAACAAAAATTACTCTGAAGACGAAAAGTCAGCTTGGGAAAGTTATGTATGTTTCCTTTTTAAAAGCCTTTTAACCTTTGGACTTGAGAAATGCTTTTTCTTGTCTTTTAAAATGTGTTAAGTAGTCACATCTTGAAAAGGACCAGATAAAATCATGTTTTTCAGGCCAGACATGGTAGCTCATCCCAGCAGTTTGAGAGGCCGAGGTGGGTGGATCACTTGAGGTCAGGAGTTCTAGACCAGCCTGGCCAACATGGTGAAACCCCATCTCTACTAAAAATACAAAAATTAGCCGGGCATGGTGGCAGGCACCTGTAATCCCAGCTACTTGGAAGGCTGAGACAGGAGAATTGCTTGAACCAGGGAGGCGGAGGTTGCAGTGAGCCTAGATCGTGCCACTGCACTCTAGCCTGGTCAATAGAGTGAGACTCTGTCTCAAAAAAAAAAAAATTGATTTTTCATGTGCCTAAGATTAAATTTAGGGCTCATCTAAACCCCAAGGGACTTTTTATGTATTTCACTTGGATTTTGGACAATAGAAATGAATAAGTTGGAATAGATCGGATGTTACATGGTGGACTCTACCTATAGAATGCCACCAACCATCTCCTTTATGTGTTGTGAATGACCCAAGCCAGATCATGCAAGTCTCCATAGGCATGCCTCTTCTTGTCAGATACTTCTAATTGAGTGTGATGATTTTCCTGCTGAGCCTTGGTGTAGCTTTACAACCCTACTCAACACAGCTCTGTGGGCAGCAAAGCCAGTGGGCAGGAATTATTAAGTGAGCTGAAACTGCTTCTCTAACCTAGGCTAGACCAAACAATAGGAAGTCAAGGTGATATCTAGGAGTTGTACATATTTTCAAATATAAAAATATTTCATTCATTTGGAGGAAGGTAGGATGAACAAGGTAGACAGTACTAATATGTCAGCTGGTAAGTAATTATTCAGTGCCATTTTTGCTGGGAATTTACCTGGATACAGATGGGCCTCCTGGAAGAATGTGGCATTTCACCTCCTCTGTACAGGGACTTATGACTTCACTGCAAGAAAATAGTTAATATATAACATAATCAGTAAGCGTTAAAACACTCCATAATATGACAAACTTTATAAATATTATTCCAACCCTCTCACTCGAAATGAAAGAAGATTTCATAGACAAGAAAGGCTTCTTAGAGACGATAGTATGGTTCATGTCACAAATGTTAAATGGATGCAGAAGCATTTGGAATGTAGCGTGCGGGATGCTATGAGTTGGTGTGTCTAAAAATGTTCAACAAAATCAATTGTAGACTTTACCTCACAAGAAAGTCTTGACTTTTGCAATGGAGAAAAGTGGTGTTTTATAGAAATACTTTAAAAACAATTTTTTTAAAAATTACAGGTATTTCAGAAAATGAGAGATAACTACAGCCAAATAATTCACATTAAATTGTTGATTGAATTGACAAAGTAATTTAATGTGTTTCTATTAGATGCAAGGCAGTGTGCTGGATCATTGAAGTATATAAAAATGTATCTGCTTGTAAAAGCAGATAATCTAGAGATGAATGTGGTAGCTAATGAAATTACAAATTAGTTTATGATATGTGCAAATGTGGGAAATAAAATCACAAAAACAATAAGTAATTCTAATCAAGATACCTGTCAAGTTCAAAAAAGCTTCTAAGAACTATGGTACCTTGGAATCTGATTTAATTCTGAAAATCCACCACATTAATTATGTCTTTCAAATTTAAAAACTAAGTTTCTAAATGCATCAATGGCCCTTAGAATAAAAACTCAGAACATTTAGAAACCCCTGGTAATGACAGGATCATGTCTAAGTTTAAAATAATACGGTTTATTCTCACTAGCCTGCAGAATTGTTTATAATCTCAAGTCGTACTTCAGAACATAGACAAAAGGCCATCCCTTTTTGGGGTTTAGATAGAAATAGCTGATTTCACCTGAACTCAGCAACCTTGTAAATAGCCGTTTCTATGAAATATATCTGCTCACTTGGATAAGAGCCAAGTTTCACAAATTACTAATGCTGGATCTAAGTTGACTAGTGAAACTTATTCCCAAAACAGGCAATGTGATAATTCAATATTTTGCTGTTGATGTGTTTCGAGAGCCAGCACACAGTGTGCATTTCCCGGTTGCTCCCAGCTTATTTTGCCACAGACCTACAGAGACCAGACTTCAAGATGTTCCTGTGGACAGGAATTTACACAAAAAACCAGGTGAAATTTACTTTTTTGGTGGAAAAATATATATGTATGACTGGCTTAAAGTCGTTAAGTGAGGTGATCTTAATGATAGGACCAAATCCATTAGAAAACTACTTTGCAAATGAAGTTTAAAAAATTTTATTTTCAACTAGTTTTTAAAAGACTTCAATTCAGTAAGGAGCACATTAGAAAGATCTCAGTTTATCTCAAGTATAGGCTATATCTAAAGAAACTTGATTATTTATTAAGTTTTCTTTCTTATTAAGATGTCTTGGCTATACAGCAAGAAGCATAAGTAACTCTCCATTGCATATTGGATCCCACGTTTTGTGGATATGAAAGAGTTAGTTTTAGAAGAAATGTCATAACCAAAAATAGAACCAAATACATAGCTATGACTGAAGTAAAGTTCTTGCTGTATGGTAATGCTTCTTGCATTTGGTCAATCTGAAGATGCGTGACATCAAGCCTGACACAGTCAGTTTAGCATAGTCTCCTTAAGGTTTGACTATGGAATGTATGAATTCGTAAATCTGCTTTCTCTTTATTGAATATATTCAAACGTATCACAGCTATTGATGGATTCCATGCTTTGTTTACAAGAGGAGCACATGGAAGTACACAACCCAGGAGCCATATTTTCCTCTTACTGCCAAAATCACTCTTCAGATATGATTTAGGTGCTTGGATATTTGCATCTAGTTCACTTTACTTACTTTTTACTGCTTTGCTGGGGCAATGCTTTCCAACAATAAGAAAGAATGAATGAATTCTAGAAAAGGATGAGCACATGACCAGATCCAAGCTTGGAAAATTTGAGTTCATGATCCATTCATTGTTGGAATGTTCAGGGTCAGGAGGTGAAACTTCAAGTCCTAAATTCTAGGTCTATGGCTAGGCAGGACATCTTCCTTTTGCCTTCCAGATACCCACTCCACCCTTCTCCACTCTGCTGTGTGCTCTGGAGGTTGACCTATAGGCTCCACATCAATGCACCTCCCTTGCTTTCAGACTTTGAGTTAGGTCCAACCAACAGGGAGCACCACCTGGAGACTGAAGGAGGCAGTAAGCAGGCGGTACCTGCCTGCATCTCTCTCCCTTTCCCTGATGTTCTGGCAACTGCTTCCTCCTGTTACTCCCACAGGCCGAGGAGTACTAATTGCACCTCACTGTCCCCATCTCCAAAATGCTGCTCTGACCCCTCCGCACTTTCCTATAATCCCTCACCTTATAAACAGTCCCTGTATCACGCTTTTGGCAAATTTATCGGCTGCCCACTGACTATCTGATGCAATCTGCAATCACGGAACTCATACTATTTGGCTAAAGAGTTGATGACATTTGTTGTGTTGTCATGGAGTTTGAGGTGCTGGTGCACTACTTTGCCAGATAATCAGACAACGTATCCCCATTGTGGGATAGGGGAAGCAAAACAAATGTTTAACTGTTCAAGGGTATTAATTCAGTCATGGTTTTAAAGACAGAATTAAAAATTTCAATAAAAAACATAGTCATGGCTGGGTGTGGTGGCTTATGCCTGTAATCCCAGCACTTTGGGAGGCTGAGGTGGGTGGATCGCGAGGTGAGGAGATCGAGACCATCCTGGTCAACATGGTGAAACCCCATCTCTACTAAAAATACAAAAAAAAAAAAAATTAGCTGGGTATGGCGGCTTATGCCTGTAATCCCAGCACTTTGGGAGGCTCAGGTGGGTGGATCACGAGGTCAGGAGATCGAGACCATCCTGGTCAACATGGTGAAACCCTATCTCTACTAAAAATACAAAAAAAAAAAAAAATTACCTGGGTGTGGTGGCTTACGCCTGTAATCCCAGCTACTCTGGAGGCTGAGGCAGGACAATTGCTTGAACCTGGGAGGCAGAGGTTGCAGTGAGCAGAGATTGCACCACTGCACTCCAGCCTGGTGACAGAGCTAGACTATGTCTCAAAACAACAACAACAACAAACATGATCATATGGTTTCACATACTATTTATTTACAATTCCAAAACATCATAAATACATCCTATATTTCATGGTTCAGTGGAGTTCAGGAAAAGCAAGTATTTGAGAAAGCAACTTGAATCAAAGAAGCTGGGATAGTTCTGAAGAAAGGGAAATTAACATCTCCCCCAAATGCAGATGCTTTCCATGCACCTGTACTATAGAATTGTGGTATGGAGATATGGAACACGCAAAGTCATTCTACACAACATGATGATGGAGCCATTCTTCATTTTTTCACTGGTCTGGAAAAGACTTTGAGAAATAGGGCTACACTTAAGCATCTTAGACATATTTCTAGAATTTTGGAGTTTGCTGAGAACCTTGAAAATATTAGGCACTGGACTGGTTTGACCTGCCGTGACGTACAAGGCACTTAGGTTTGTTATGTTTGATACAAGAAAGCCTTTATGAGACTGTTCAACAGAAAATCTTGAATTTTTTACTGATACCCATTAAATTGCATAAGACAAATACAGACTGACAAACACATAGCACATATATGATATTTCTTTTTTTGAATATAATGGAGGAAAACACTGTTTTTAGTCTAGTTATCATTAGACTTTTGTTACAGAAAATAAACAAATTCACCCAGCTCTTTGTGCATTTATGGCACTGTTGCTTCTCAGACACCAAATGAAAATTTAACATCCTGTGCCCTCCTTTTTAGATTAAATTCTCCTGTGTTTTCTTTTGGAAATGGGATGGAAGTGAAAACAAAATGTTGTTCTACCATATATCAAGATGAGGGCTGATATTCTGTCCAGAGCTTAAGTAAGTAGAATTGATTTGCTGAAATGCTGAAATGCTTGCAACTTTACACATTTTTGAAATTTTCTTTCTGTGGGATGGAGGCAGAGATCTTGACGATGCTCGCTCTCTGGGGCTTCTGTGTATCACCGGGTGAAAATGGTCTTTCCTTATCTGGAATTCCCCTTCCCTTCCCACCATTATGTAACCAGCTCCAGCATCTCCACATGGCAAACCCTTCTCAATGCCCCTGCACACAGAATTTGTCCTTTACTCCTTGGTCTCTGCATGTGCCCCGTGCTTCTGCTGTGGCATGTGCCACACTGTGCTTTTTAACATGTCCGTCTTGATGATATGCTCTAGATTCATCTGTGGGACTGAACCTTGTCTTTGATCACTAGCGCACCTTGTGGAAACTAATTTGCAGGCAACAGTGTTGAACTATTCATCTCTATTCTAATTCTCATTTATTTGTGGAGAGAATAGAACGGGATAACTTATTCTGTGGTTGTGAAAACCTGAGAATTCAACTGGAATCGAGTTCTCTTGTAAAATGTGAGTTTGAGGGAAGAAACGGTGTGCAACTTGTATGTGATGATATCCCCAGACAACGGTGCATCCATTATGTATCAGGTGCTAGTCTGTTTTGCATTGCTGTAAAGGAGTACCTGAGCCTGGGCAATTTACAAAGGAAAGAGGTTTATTTGGCTCAAGGTCTTGCAGGTTATACAGGAAGCATGGTGCCAGCATCTGCTCAGCTTCTGGTGAGGCCTCAGGAAGCTTTAACTCATGGTGGAAGGTGAAGGGGAGCAAGAGAGAGAACCAGAGAGATGAGGAGGTGCCAGACTCTTTTAAACAACCAGATCTTGTCAGAACTGATGGAGGGAGAATTCACTCATTACCGTGGGGAGGGCACCATGCCTTTCATAGGGGATCTGCCCCCGTGACCCAAACACCTCCCACCAGGCCCCACCTCCAACACGGGGGATCACAGTTCAACCTGAGATTTGGAGGGGACAAACATCCAAACTATATCACATCAGTAAATATTTATTAACTAATTTAAGAAAAAAAACAAAAAATTGATGTCTTTATCATATATCTTGCTTCTTCCTGTAAAAGCCATCAAACTTTCCATTTAAAAAACCCACAATTTTTAGCCATTTTCTGATCTGTACTTTCTTTTAAGCTTGTGAACATGTCCCCAAGAATGAGTTCACCTTTCTTTCAATGTCTTTCCCTTTTTATATTGGAAAGAAAAGGAAAGCAAAATGTATGCATGTGCATGTATATGTGTGTGTGTGTGTGTGTGTGTGTGTGTGTGTAGTTTATCAGAAAGGAAAAGCTCACCTTCCTTGATCACCCTGAGTTTGCTGCAAGCTGCTGACGGCAGCTAATCTGACATTTGTCTCATTGAAGTGGAAGAGCAGATGTGTTGCACTGGAGTCCTCTTGCAGGTCTTCCGTTCTGAAGGCTGCACTCTGCGTCACAGTGTCCTAGACTTGCTGCAGCCCTTCCAGCTGGTGAGCTGCTTTTTTTCTTCCAGTTTAAATACTTCCTTGGTGCAGCCTGAGGGTTGGAAGGCTGGGAGTGGGAGAGAGTTTGTTCTCAAATTTATGAGCTGTGAGTGCAGGGAACTTAAGTGCGGCAGCTCTCCAGTCGACATTACAGATATGGGTAAAATAGTAATCTTTCCTATCAACCCACAGCCCATAAAACGAATACCTTTTAATGGTGTGGGCATAATTATCAGATGTATTAAGTTAATTGGACAGACACTGATGCAAGGTCTTAGTAGTAGCCGACTGTGGCTCGGTGCATTTCCTTAACATTCATAGATCATATTTCAAATGACTGTTGCTGAGAGAACTCCCAAATATATTCTTGGTCAATGTGATTTCTTTCTTTCTTTCTTTTTTAAAAGCTCATCATCTCCACTGAGCCTTAACAATTTACATTAAAAATGCCATTTGGAGCCTCCCCGTCATTTTCCCTTTAGCCTTACTGAAAAATGCTTGCTTTTTCACAAGGTTGCGACACTTAGAATCAGGACCAAGGGTTATGGCTACTAAATTCCAAGTTGTCTTTTATGTACTTGCTTCAAAGCAGGCTTATATTTTCTTAGTATCTTTTCCTAGCATATCGGCCACCAATAAAATGAAAGAGAATAATCCTGACTAAATTCATAGCCATTTTTACAGCATATCTGATCATGCCTTTTATTGACAGAGAGTAATATGCATTAAAGTAATCTCTTGAAAGCCTTTTTTCAAAAAAAATTTGTTTTGGTCTTTATCTTTCCTTTCTAAGTGTCTGGACCGTGTATAATAGGAAGCATAAATTCCCTTTCCAGTGACTGCTATGTTCATGCTTCTCATTTTATTTTATTCATTCTGTTTTATGGACTTTGCAAAGCTGACTTTTGGTTAACCTTATGCCCTCTGAGGCTAAACTTTTGATTTAAAATTATTTGAAGCTCTCGGCTCCCTGGGTTGTGGAGTGCATATAGATCCATCTATGGCGTTAGGTGACTCAGAGCTAGGAAGAACGGTTACAGAGTCCATGCCAGCAACCAGCTGTTGGCCTCACAGGTGCAAAGGAGGCAGCACTAGGTGACTGGGGGTTACAGTCGCCCCTGGAGCTCAGCGATGGTGCCAGAGGATTCCTCCTCCAAGGTCAACGATGATACAGATGTGGATGCAATAGCATGGAGCCCATTTCAACCACCTTAGCATTTGGCTAAGCCATTCATCAAAGGCCTCACATCAAGCCAAGCCTTTCTCTGTCCTCCCCACACTGGTCTGGGCAGCAGCTTCATGCACTAGGGCAGTACACCCCTGTAAGCTCTTCATTCTCTCACCTTTCTAGGTGCTTGTTCCTTTCATTTCCCTCTATCCATGGGGCTTCTTTGTGCTTCCCTTCCAGACTTTGCAACCTTAGTTTGACATTTATTGCAACTGTCACCAACATTGTAGACTTCCTTATCTCAACCTTTGACTGTGATTGTCATGCCACTTTAGGAAAAATACCCCACTTCACTTCCCCATCCATATTCTCTGCTATTGCACCAAGCTTAAGAGACTTGAAAAAGTTCTAGACCTAGGATGCCTTGGACCTGTCTCTTCTCTCTACCTCAGTAATACACAATCCTGCTTCATTGCAAAGACTGACATTAGCTCTGAAAACTCAGTTCTCCCAACTTGCCCTGAAATGTGTATCTCTAGGCCTTAGCTTTGCTCTGATCGCTATCCCCTTTACTAAATAAATTGATGCTCTTTTTATCAATGTGTACCTTCATGTCCACCCTCCCTTTTAATACAGTCTGTATAGGTAGGAGGAGCCCACTGTTTGATGTCAGAACGTTTGAGTTTGGGACCTGGCTCAATTTCCTGCCAATTGTGTGACATAAATTGTTGAAAGGCAAATAAGAGTATCAGTATTACATGTGTTCTCGTAATATTTTTGTAAGTTTTTTTCTACCTTTTTATTCTCCCTACCAGTGCTCTAGGTCAAGTTTATTCATGGAAATACCAGCCATGTCTTCTTAAAATCCTGCTTTGATAAACCGCTCTCCCCAAATTAAACTCCTAAGTGTAATGTTTCAAGTAATAACAAACTACTTAGGGAATTTATACTTCCTATTATACACGATCCAGACACTTAGAAAGGAAAGATACGAACAGCTTAAAGGAAAGATACAGTTTAACTACAAACAGCTTACTGTTACTTATTCAAATATGTATTTTCAGATCTTCACTTTTCCTCTAAATTCTCTGCTCTCTTCAGATCAAATATCTTCTGAAGCCACCAAAAAACTGTCATAACTTCCCACTCCCACCACCAACCACCTTCTCCTTGCCTCTTTTATTCCAATATATTATTCACAGCCCATGATTACTAACTAACTAGGTAATATTGACCACCAATTTCATTTAACATCTACTTGACACAATCATACTATCTAGTGTATTGCCTCATTCATGGTCTAGAAGTCTGAGTTGTCTTATTATTATGTTGATGACTTTGTAACCCCCTGGTTACTGCTTAAAAATGCATGCCTAAGGAAGCCTTCATTCTCTTTGCCTTGGTTTGCTAACACATAAAATGAAGAACGGTGTATTTTTCTACTCATAGGTCTTCATGGGATTTTACAAGTTAATTGAAGCATTCTGAAAGCTTCTTGAATAAAGATTAATAAAGACACATATTTAAATATTTGATGGCCAGTTTCATTTTTCTCATTGTTACTCTTATTCATATTAAGCTATTATTATCTTTTTCTCAGCTTTGTAAAACAATTCTGGCCAGGCGCGGTGGCTCACGCCTGTAATCCAAGCTCTTTGGGAAGCCGAGGTGGGCGGATCACGAGTTCAGGAGATCGAGACCATCCTGGCTAACACGGTGAAACGCCATCTCTACTAAAAATACAAAAAATTAGCCGGGCGCGGTGGCGGGCGCCTGTAGTCCCAGCTACTCGGGAGGTTGAGGCAGGAGAATGGCGTGAACCCGGGAGGCGGAGCTTGCAGTGAGCCGAGATCGCGCCACTGCACTCCAGCCTGGGCGACAGAGCGAGACTCCGTCTCAAAAAAAAAATTAAAAAAAAAACCAATTCTTAAATGAAAGGTCGAATTGTGACAAGTGGTCATTGTAGTACAGATGGAGCAAAAGAAACCCATGCATGATACGTGATTCTTTCCTCCACGAGTGTTTATGTGCGTTTCTTCAATATAGGACGGAAGCAAGGAAAAAGAAAAGGAGAAAAGGAAGCAAAGGAAAGAAATTCTACAAAGCAAATGTTTAAGAATCTGCTAACACATTTTAATGAAGCTCATTAACTCAAACGTTGACTCAACGTAGACTATTTCACAATAGAACCATATATGCCCCCAGAAATAATTTTTTTTTAATTTAGAGATCTAATTGTACCTTTAATACTGGAAGTGAGTGGAAATAGTGTTGCTGTCGTTTCTAAGTGGCCCCGAGAGGAGAAGTAACTTGCAGGCAAGTTACAACATCCAGTTTTTAAAATTTATTTTAAATTTTTTTCATATAAGGTGAAGATCTTTTTTTTATTATTATACTTTAAGTTCTAGGGTACATGTGCACAACGTGCAGGTTTGTTACATATGTATACACGTGCCATGTTGGTGTGCTGCACCCATTAACTCGTCATTTACATTAGGTATATCTCCTAATGCTATCCCTCCCCCCTCCCTCCCATCCCACAACAGGCCCCGGTGTGTGATGTTCCCCACCCTGTGTCCAAGTGTTCTCATTGTTCAATTCCCACCTATGAGTGAGAACATGCGGTGTTTGGTTTTTTGTCCTTGCAATACTTTGCTGAGAATGATGGTTTCCAGTTTCATCCATGTCCCTACAAAGGACATGAACTCGTCATTTTTTATGGCTGCATAGTATTCCATGGTGTATATGTGCCACATTTTCTTAATCCAGTCTATCATTGCTGGACATTTGGGTTGGTTTCAAGTCTTTGCTATTGTGAATAGTGCCACAATAAACATATGTGTGCATGTGTCTTTATAGCAGCATGATTTATAATCCTTTGGGTATATACCCAGTAATGGGATGGCTGGGTCAAATGGTATTTTTAGTTCTAGATCCTTGAGGAATCACCACACTGTCTTCCACAATGGTTGAACTAGTTTACAGTCCCACCAACAGTGTAAAAGTGTTCCCATTTCTCCACATCCTCTCCAGCACCTGTTGTTTCCTGACTTTTTAATGATCACCATTCTAACTGATGTGAGATGGTATCTCATTGTGGTTTTGATTTGCATTTCTCTGATGGCCAGTGATGATGAACATTTTTTCATGTGTCTGTTGGCTGCATAAATGTCTTCTTTTGAGAAGTGTCTGTTCATATCCTTGGGCCACTTGTTGATGGGGTTGTTTCATTTCTTCTTGTAAATTAGTTTAAGTTCTTTATAGATTCTGGATATTAGCCCTTTGTCAGATGGGTAGATTGCAAAAATTTTCTCCCATTCTGTAGGTTGTCTGTTCACTCTGATGATAGTTGCAGAAGCTCTTTAATTTAATTAGATCCTATTTGTCTATTTTGGCTTTTGTTGCCATTGCTTTTGGTGTTTTAGTCATGGAGTCCTGAATGGTAAAGCCTAGGTCTTGAATGGTATTGCCTAGTTTTCTTCTGGGGCTTTTATGGTTTTAGGTCTAACATTTAAGTCTTTAATCCATCTTGAATTAATTTTTGTATAAGATGTAAGGAAGTGATCCAGTTTCAGCTTTGTACATATGGCTAGCCAGTTTTCCCAGCACCATTTATTAAATAGGGAATCCTTTCCCCATTTCTGTTTTTGTCAGGTTTGTCAGAGATCAGATGGTTGTAGATGTGTGGTATTATTTCTGAGGGCTCTGTTCTGTTCCATTGGTCTATATCTCTGTTTTGGTACCAGTACCATGGTGTTTTGGTTACTGTAGTCTTGTAGTCTAGTTTGAAGTGAGGTAGCATAATGCCTCCAGCTTTGTTCTTTTGGCTTAGGATTGATTTGGCAATGCGGGCTCTTTTTTGGTTCCATATGAACTTTAAAGTAGTTTTTTCCAATTCTGTGAAGACAGTCATTGGTAGCTTGATGGGGATGGCATTGAATCTATCAGTTAACAAGGTGAAGATCTTTTCTGTGTCTGCCAATAAGTTTTCTTCATCTAGTGACTGTAAAGGAGTTTGACAATTCTCATAAATTGAAAAGTTATTGGGAGATACAAAGTTACATATAAATTTCAAATTGAAGGCCCATCAATAGGATTATGTTTGTTTAAATACAAACAGCTTCAGCTTTCCAAGACTTTCTACTCTGGCTCTTGTGTTAATTGTACTAATGGCTGGTACTGTGTGACTTCTTCATCTCTTTGGTTCTCTGGTTCCTTCTGGAGGTAAAGTTCTATGATTCTATTCATAGCAGTTCCTAGTCTGATTAGGTTACCAACATGGATAAGAATCTGATAAAAGTTATAAACTGTATTTTCAGTGAAAAGCACAATTTCCTAAAACATATGTGTGTGTGTGATATGGTTTGGCTGTGTCCCCACCCAAATCTCCTCTTGAATTGCAACTCCCACAATTTCTATGTGTCCCTGGGAGGAATCTGGTAGGAAGTAATAGAATCATGGGGGTGGATCTTTTCTTGGCTGTTCTTGTGATAGTGAATAAATCTCATGAGATCTGATGGTTTTAAAAATGAGAGTTTGCCTGCACAAGCTCTCTCTTTGCCTGCCACCATTCACGTAAGATGTGACTTGGTCCTCCTTGCTTTCCACCATGATTGTGAGGCATCCCCAGCCATGTGGAACTGTTAAGTCCAATAAACCTCTTTCATTTGTAAATTTCCCAGTCTTGGCTATGTCTTTATTAGCAGTGTGAAAACAGACTAATATAGTAAATTGGTACCAGTAGAGTGGGTGCTGCTGAAAAGATACCTGAAAATGTGGAGGCAACTTTGGAATTGGGTAACAGGCAGAGGCTGAAACAGTTTGGAGGGCTCAGAAGAAGACAGGAAAATGTGGAAGAGTTTGGAACTCCCTAGAGACTTGTTGAATGGCTTTGAACATGATGCTGATAATAATATGGACAATGAAATCTAGGCTGAGGTGGTCTCAGATGGAGATGAGGAACTTTTTGGGAACTGGAGCAAAGGTGACACTTGTTATATTTTAGCAAAGAGACTGGCAGCATTTTGCCCTTGCCCTAGAGATTTGTAGAACTTTGAACTTGAGAGTATCTGGCAGAAGGAATTTCTAAGCAGCAAAGCATGTAAGAGATGACTTGGGTGCTGTTGAAAGCATTCAGTTTTATAAGGGAAGCAGAGCATAAAAGTTTGGAAATTTTGCAGCTTGACAATGCAATAGAAAAGAAAATCCCATTTTCTGAGGAGAAATTCAAGCCATCTGCAGAAATTTGGGTAAGTAACCAGGAGCCAAATGTTAATCACCAAGACAATGGGGAAAATGTCTCCAGGGTATGTCAGAGGTCTTCATGGCAGCCCCTTCCATCACACCCTTGAAGACCTAGGAGGAAAAAGTGGTTTCCTGGGCCAGGCCCAGGGTCTCCATGCTGTGTGCAGCCTAGGGACTTGGTGCCCTGCATCCCAGGCACTCCAGCCATGGCTGAGAGGGGCCAACGTAGAGCTTGTGCTGTGACTTCAGAGGGTGGGAGCCCCAAGCCTTGGCAGTTTCCACATGGTGTTGAGCCTGCAAGTGCACGGAAATTAAGAATTGGGGTTTGGAAACCTCCATCTAGATTTCAGAAGATGTATGGAAATGCCTGGATGTCCAGGCAGAAGTTTGCTGCAGGGGCAGGGCCCTCATGGAGAACCTCTGCTAGGACAATGCAGAAGGGAAATGTGGGGTTGGAGCCCCACACAGAGTCCCTACTGGGGCACCACCTAGTGGAGCTGTGAGAAGAGGGCCATCATCCTCTGGACCCCAGAATGGTAGATCCACTGACAGCTTGCACTGTGCATCTGGAAAAGCTGCAGACTTCCAATGCCAGCCCATGAAAGCAGCCAGGAGGTAGGCTATGCCCTGCAAAGCCACAGGGGTGGAGCTTCCCAAGACTAGGTGAACCCACCTTTTGCCTCAGCATGACCTGGGTGTGAGACATGGAGTCAAAGGGGGTCATTTTGGAGCTTTCTGATTTCACATCCCTGCTGGATTTCAGACTTGCGTGGGGCCAATGGCTCCTTTGTTTTGGCCAATTTCTCCCATTTGGAATGGCTGTTATTTACCCAATGACTGTACCCCCATTGTATCTAGGAAGTAACTAACTTGCTTTTGATTTTACAGGCTCACAGGTGAAAGGGACTTGCCTTCTCTCAGATGAGACTTTGGACTGTGGACTTTTGAGTTAATGCTGAAATGAGTTAAGACTTTGGGGGACTGTTGGGAAGGCATGATGGGTTTTGAAATGTGAGGACATGAGATTTGGGAGGGGTCGGGGCCTAATGATATGATTTGTCTGTGTCCCCACCCAAATCTCATCTTGAATTGTAACTCCCACAATTCACATGTGTCATTGGAGGAACCTGGTGGGAGGTAATTGAATCATGGGGGCTGGTCTTTCCTGTGCTGTTCTCATGATAGTGAATAAGTCTCACGAGATCTGATGACTTTAAAAATGGGAGTTTGACTGCACAAGCTCTCTCTTTGCCTGCCACCATCCATGTATGATGTGGTTTGCCTTCTGCCATGATTGTGAGGCATCCCCAGCCATGTGGAACTGTGAGTCCAATAAACCTCTCTTGTTTGTAAATTACCCAGTTGTGGGTATTCTTTATCAGCAGCATGAAAACAGACTAATACAACTAATAATATATAATATATTATATATAATTATATTTACATTATTACATTAATTATATAAAATTATATTTTCCATAATTTTATTACATTATATACATTACATATATATTTACATTGTATATCTATTTTCTTTTAAGCTGCTCAGTGTCAAACTCATTGCATGAGTTTTAGGGACAATCAATCCTCAGCACCAGCATGGAACCCAGAATCGGCAGAGGCCAATTTGCAGTCTGTGACCTGCACAGATAGAATGCTGGCACGTGGCTTCATCCTGCTTAGTCCCAGGTCTTGAAACCAGAGTTAGTGTTGCAAAGAAGTCGGCACAGCTTAGCATTTATTCTCCAGGCATGAGCTGGAGCAGCATTCAAGGTTCTAGGCCAGCAACAGCTGTTTCCAGTGGTGAAATGCCGTGTCCGATAGCAGAGGAGTCTTAACCAGTCTTGCCTGTGGTATCGTTTTCATTATTGTTTTGAATCGCTGGCCTCCCTTGGTTTTATAACTGATTTCTGGGATACGTAATATATTTCCAGTAAATTCAGTGAACTATCCAATGTATTGTTAAATTCCTTTCTCACATGAATTCACCAGAATTAGTTTTTGCTGTTTGCAAAGAAGAACTCTAACACACATAAAGGTAAGGAAAACATTCCGCCTATAGCTTCAGTGTTTCAGTGTTTTGATGAGCCCCTTCAGCCCATCACAGATTCTGCTTGCCTCTCTCAAGCTGATGGGGTTGGTGGTTTTCTGGGCTGTGAGGGTGAGAGAGTATCTGCAAGGCCTGTGTAAGGACACCTGCTCTAAAAAGGCGTGAACTGGTTGGGCGCGGTGGCTCACACCTGTAATCCCAGCAATTTGGGAGGCCAAGGCGGGCAGATCACTTGAGGTCAGGAGTTCGAGACCAGCCTGGCCAACATGGTGAAACCCTGTCTCTACTAAAAATATAAAAATTAGCCGAGTGCGGTGGTGGGCACCTGTAATCCCAACTACTTGGGAGGCTGAGGCAGGAGAATCGCTTGAACCCAGGAGGTGGATCTTGCAGTGAGCCAAGATCGCGCCACTGCACTCCAGCCTGGGTGACAGAGAGAGAGAGAGACTCTGTTTCAAAAAAAAAAAAAAAGGTGTGAATCTAATTAGTTGTTTAAAAAACTAGGTGGTGCAAAGCCTCGATTTTCTGATCGTGCTAATACAAGGTAAAAGTCATGAGCTGGTGCATATCAATTCTAGAAAGTGAAATTTAATTAAAAGGATAAAATTTTAATCTCAATTATTTACTTTATTTTTTCAAATTTATTTGCTTCTGTTTTTTTTTTTAATTATTATTTTTAAGATGAGGTCTCACTCTCTATCACCCAGCTGGAGTGCAGAGGCATTATCTCAGCTTACTGCAGCCTCGACCTCCTGGGCTCAAGCCATTCTTCCACCCTAGCCTCCCAGGTAGCTGGGACTACAGGTGCACACCACCATAGCTGGTTAATTTTTGTATTTTTAATAGAGCTGAGGTTTCACCATGTTGCCTAGGCTAGTCTCAAACTTCTGAGCTCAAGCCATCTTCCTGCCTCAGCCTCCCAAAATGCTGGGATGACAAGCATGGGCCACTGTACTCAGCCCAATTAGTTACTTTAAAACTTGCTCTTTTCCTCTTATTTTTCAACTAATGAACAGGGCAAATCTCTGTCTCCACTACAAAGTCAATCCAGCAGCGTGCCTGAGAAACTCCTCTTCTATTGTCTGCGAGGGCTTGCATATGAGCTTTCAATTCATCTGAAATAGCAATTCCCCTACTGTGAGTGTTTTCATAAAGACTTTCAGAGCAGAAATACAGAGTGCTTTACTATGTTAGTGTTTCCACCTAGTATCTGCCACAAAGACAAGTTATAAAAATCAGCTTCAGAATGTTTAGGAAGTAACAGAGAGCCTCCAGTTGAGTGTCTACATTAACAAATAACGCACCTCCTACATACATGCATGGCCAGTTACACGCAAACATTGAATAGATTTTGTTAAAATATCAATGACTGACACTTAGGCTAAGACGATGAATGGCCAACCAGTGAAATAGTGTGTGTGTATATGTGCCTGTGTGTGTGTGTGTGTGTGTGTGTGTGTGTGTGTGTGTGTGTGTGTTAAGAGAGAAAACTCTTTTCCTCCAAGGTCATTAAGGTCTTTTTTCAAGGTCACGAAGTTCTAGTAGAACTTATAACACACTTCAGAGGCAATCATTATTACTAAAATTTTAAACAGAAAGAAACTACAAGCAATGGGAAGAAGAAGAAGAAGTGAGTAGGGCAGGTTATATGCTTTCAGAAAATACAGATAAAGGGAAGACAAATCCCAGTTTTCTTGAAGCTCGTTTTTATTTTTTTTATTTTTTTGAGATAGGGTCTTTCCCTGTTGCCCAGGCTGGATTGAGATGGCGTCTCTCCCTGTTGCCCAGGCTGGAGAGCAGTGGCACAATCTTGGCTCACTGCAACATCTGCCTCCCAGGCTCAGGTGATCCTCCGACCTCAGCCTCTCAAGTAGCTGGGATTACAGGCATGCACCACCACACCTGGCTAATTTTTGTATTTTTCTGTAGAAGCAGAGTCTTCCTGTGTTGCCCAAGCTGTTGAACTCCTTTTATGCTTTCTCTTGTTTTGATTATATAATCTCTTTCTAGACAGTTCAAATAAAGTTTGAAAGTAGGTTTTTCTTTTCTTCTTTAGAAGCCAATTTCCTTTGAAACATGGAGACAAAACGCTATGTCGTTTATTTATTAAGATCTGTTGTTTTCCCTCATCTTTTGTAGTAGCTAACCACAGTATCACCTCTCCCGTATTTACTATACTCTTTGCCTGTAGCCAGCAAAGTAACATCCACAGAGGCAGTGAGAGAATGCTTCTTATGTGAGTCTTAGAATTATTTATTCTGGATAGAATTTGTTTTTAATGTTTATGGAAGTGTCCAAAGTAGAATCTATTCCCCAGGTAGGCATTAGGTACAGCAGAAAAGACACTTCCACTCAGGCAGGTGCTGAAAGATAATCTCCGTGACAAAGTGATTCTCCATGAGAATTGAGTCTTTAGTTTCTCTGCTGTCAGGGGAGTTGTTGATGGCCATTTACACTTTTTGTATAATGAGGACACCTGTTTGCTAATAATTGAACTGAGGATATCACAACACAGGGCGTTTAAAAATAACATGGGAATACAATTGCAGATTACATACACACATGAATAGATGTTTGCTGTTGGTAGCTTAATGGGCCATGGCTACGTATTTCCTAAGTAGCTAAATCGAGTTACAGATTTTGTAGTATTTATTGCATTTCATTTTAATAAGCAGTTATTATAGTTGAATAATTACTTCATCACAGGTGTAACAGATACCACAGGGGTGACATCAGTGAAAGTGCTTTATCACTGCTTTTCCTGTGCCATGGGGTAATAATCAAAGACAGAGCTTAAAAGAAATAAAAAGTTCCCTTAGTGAAGCAGATTGAGATTTCATTTTCAGTGCGACCCAGTATGCTTGATTGCTACATGAATAAACTGGTGTAGGCTAGAAACCATACCTCTATGGAAGTGAATTGTGTTGAATGAGGGACTAAAGGGAAGAAGATCACCTGAATCTGGGGACCCTGTTGCTCCTGGAGTAGTGCAGCATTGGGATATGTTTTTCCTCTAGCTGGTTGGCATATACCATATAGAGAGGTTGGCATATACCGTATAGAGAGGTTGGCATACTGTATAGAGAGGTTGGCCTACCTTATAGAGAGGTTGGCATATACCATATAGAGAGGTTGGCATATACCATATAGAGAGGTTGGGATACCGTATAGAGAGGTTGGCATACCGTATAGAGAGGTTGGCATATACTGTATAGAGAGGTTGGCATACCGTATAGAGAGGTTGGCATACCATATAGAGAAGGCAAATGCTTTGTTCCACCTGAATTTGTGACTGTGGTGCAGAGGATTTCATGGCTAAAAATAGAAAACTTCTCACGTTACTATAGGTCTAAATGGAGGTAATATTTTAAAGACTAAAATCGATGTTGATAATTACAGTAGTTTATGTTATATCAAAACATCAAAAATAAAAGTAACCGAATAATCAAAGGACCTAACACCCAAATTACCAACTGCCTTTGATCTATATATACTATATATAATATATGATCTATATATATTATATATAATATATATTATTTTTTTCTTAGAAGCAATTGGCAGAATCATGGAATATTACAAACATTAAAACTTATAGAGGGCTTTAAGAATCACTTTATTTATCCTCCTATTTTTGTAATTAAAAAATAAGGCCAGAGTGTTGTATTGACTTGGCCAGTTTCCATAGTTAATACTGAGGGATAACACTTCCTTAAAGTATAATAGTGATATTTGCACACAACAATCTTTCTACTTCTCTACTTTAAAACTTCCTATTTAACTTCAGTTCACTCTGAAAAAAATGAATTTTGGCTTGCTCTCAATTTTACCTCTTTATTTACCAAAATAGAGGGTATCTGTATCACTATGTCAGGTAAAAATCTAAATTTTTGGAATTCATCTACCATTAGTGTATATATTCTAACCTTCATTACTTGCAGGTAAAAATGTGATCATGCTAACAGCGACACCCAAATCTACTTATCTCCAAATCTCCAGGCGGCAACTCAGGCCAGATCCTTTCCCAGGTAATCTCAGGAATCCCCGAAGTGGCAATGACTTCCTCAGGAATACGGCTTTTAATTTTCTTTCTTTCCCTCAAATTCTTCTTGGAGGTCTATTGCCCCTAAGCCCTAAGCTGCTGCTTTAAGCTGCTGCTGTCGTATTAGATGGTGAAGTAGAGAGGCTACCTGTGGCTTCTCCCTGTGGTTACTTGGGTCCCAGCACAGTGCTTCTTAAGCTCAGAGTCTCAAAGCATTTTCATGAGCTTTTACTGAATCCTTGAGATGCAGTATTCAGATACCATCTAATACCTCCCATTTTTCTACTCTTGCCTTTTACTCCTTCCTAGTCCCCAAAAGCCTCTTCGTTTTTCAAAAAATAATAAAAGGCAGTCACAGAGGATAGTCGCAGAGGAGGGCTGTTGTTCATTTGCCACCTTGGAAAAAGCATTCATGTTCCATCTTTGCCCAGCCAAGATAACCTTTTAGGAATATTTTGACATGCATTTTACTTTCTGGGAACTGGCACCAAAGATTGGTCATCATTACTCTAATTAATCGCTTCTATTTGTAAGGGTGATGAGGTTTTGTACGGATTGGCCAAAATAGTCACCATTAAGAAATGCTTTCTCTGTTCAGCTAAAACCCTATGTCTGAAGCCACACAGGAACGGATAGCTTTAGTCTGTGGTTCTAATGCCTCATTTTCTATAAATTCCAAATGGACCTGCCTTTTTCTGGGCCAGTGACACGGAAAATGATAGTTGGCAGTCGATGGTCATTAAAAAACCTTCTTGGAATGCTGTTACAGCAGTGGGCAGCCGTTACTGTCATGTTGAGAGTGATAAAGGTAGAATCATGGGATTTCAAAAATCAAAGGGAACTTAGAAATAATTTTGTTCAACTCCCTTGTCTTATAGATAAAAGTAGTCATGTAACTATCTGTCATTTTATACCCAATTTAAAAGCTTGTGACATCCTTCTACAAAATGAAAACATACAATCAAACCAGGCACTCTTGCTTGCCAAGGTCCTACATTTGGGCCTCACATGCTCATTCCATTTAACCATTGCACTGGCGAATGCAGCAGTAATTCCCAGCCATGACGGACAAAAATCCCAGGTGCATTTTTGACTCTAGTCATGAAGTCATTGACACAACCTCAAAAATAATTAACATTTTCATAGACAATTCCACAAAATACTTTCACCACAGGGAATATTTTTCAGCAAAAGATGATGGTTAGGTAGATATAGCAGCTTCCCAAATAGTGGGATTCTTAGAGCACGGATAAAATCAGTTGAAAGCTGAAAAAATATCTTGAATGGGCAAGGAAGAAGGAATCCAATGTAGGAAAGCTTACTTTATATTTCCATGGATAAATGCAATAACACTTACGTTTCTGAAAATTCTATCAGCATGCCAACTTCATTTCCAGTCCAACGGATTGCCTTATTGCCCTGAATCATGTTAAGCCAGTCTTGGAACTTCGTGGCTCCCAGTGGATCTCCAGCTCCTTACTGTTCCTGAGAGCCATCTGTTGTGTGTAGGTTTCCACTGGACCCGGCATAAATATTTACATGTGAGTTCATCTTGAGGTGGGATTATGCCTAATAAACCCCTGGAATTCTGTACCACCCCACGCATGGTTACTAATTTTATCTTTCTCTGGTATGTTTAGCTGAAGCTGGCACATTGTTCTTTTTTTTTTCTAATCAATTAAAATTTTAAAAATGGTGATCAAAGCACTGGTGGTCAGTGAGAGCCTAGACAGTAAGAGCTCTTTCCTCAGGGGTTGAAAAATCTCTATCTAAACAAATAAAGTGGTCATATGGTTTGAAAATATTTATAGAGGGGCCGGCCATGGTGGCTCACGCCTGTAATCCCAGAACTTCGGGAGGCCAAGGCTGGCAGATTGCTTGAGGCCAGGAGTTTGAGACCAGCCTGGCCAAAATGGTGAACCCCCATCTTTACTAAAAATACAAAAATTAGCCAAGTGTGGTGGCGCATGCTTGTAGTCTCAGCTACTCTGGAGGCTGAGGCACTAGTATAGCTTGAACTCGGGAGATGGCGGTTGCAGTGAGCCGCGGTCACCCCCGCACTCCAGCCTGGGCGACAGAGCAAGACTCTGTCTCAAAAAAATGTATATATCTATATATACTGCCGGGCATGGTGACTCATGTCTGTAATGCCAGCACTTTGGGAGGCCAAGGTGGGTGGTTCACTTGAGGTCAGGAGCTCGAGACCAGCCTGACCAATATGGCGAAACCCCATCTCCACTAAAAAATACAAAATTAGCTGGGCGTGGTGGTGCAAGCCTGTAATCCCAGCAACTCTGGAGGCTGAGGCAGGAGAATTGCTTGAACTCGGGAGGTGGTGAACTGAGTGAACTGAGATTACGCCACTGCACTCCAGCCTGGGCAACAAGAGCAAAACTCTGTCTCAAAAAAAAAAAAAGAAATTATGTAATACTTTTTCCATGAGTCAAATTCAAATGATGGCGATCCACTGGCGTGATTGTAATGACACAGTTTAATCAAAGGCCGTCAAGGTACGTACAATTGACTAGAACCAACTTGATCATAGTTAACTGAAGAATGTTGTGGTGGCTGTGTTCTTTGTCTTCCGAAGTTGACTTATGAAATCAAAACAGTATTCTCCTGGACATATTTAATAATGCATTCAAGCAGGCATTTTGCCAAATCCCTTTGAGACCATATTAAATGGAAAGATATTTTAAGCATTCATTTTGATGAATGGAGCATAGGTAAAGACCTTGTTCAATCCACAGGGTCTAGTATACAATGAAAGCATTGACCAACAGATAATTTATTACAGTGCGGTGGAATTAATTTTTGGTACATTGAATATTTATTTTCCTCAGTGTGTTTTAAATTTCAGTTTTAGAAAATTTTTGTGTGATTATGAAATTAATACATGTTCAGTGTAGAAAATTAGGAGAATATAGAAGAAAAGATAAGGGAAAAATCAAAAGAAAATCCAATTCTCAAAAATACCCACTATTTTTATTTTGGTATAAATATGCATACAATTAATATTTTATCACTCTTGTCAATCATTTCAAAGATGTTATTCAAAGATATTTCTACAATGTTATTTGCAGTTGAATAATCTAAATGACCATCAACAGGACTTTGATGTACTGGCATGAAAAGAGGTTGACAAGAACCTGTCAAGGGAAAAAAGCAAGAACTAGAAAACTTTTATAATAAAGCCTCATTTTTTTGTATCAAAAATTTTAGAAGTCATGTAGAAAAGTGTTTCTATATTAACAGTGTTTACCTCTGAGGAAGCTGATAAACAGAGCAGGTTTTTTTTTATAACCAGTATTCATTTTGTAATAAATAAATAAACAACTCTAGCTTATGCTTGCTTTGTTAGAACACAGCAATCCATGGCATATGCAGATTGGGTCCTGGTCCTGTGACTATTAAGAATTATTTACAGATTTAATTTTCCCATTTGAAGATAATTGTGAATCAATGCAAAGATTCCAAGAGAAAAAAAGGTGCAGCTAAATTATTAACAGGTAAAACACTGTATCTGAGTGGAAAGGTAAAGGAGTGTAGATTACTTGTTGAAAGTAGGATATTTGGGAACAATCTAACAACAAATATGTATTGACTGGCTACTCTGTATAATGCCCCACTTGGATGGTACTGAACAGAAATCCTAGATCCACAGAAAATTGTAAAAGGTGCCTATAATTAGGTGTCAGGATTTGCCGCTGATCTGGAAGGCCGACCTCTGAATACATACAGAGAAGAGTAACTGGTCTATATGTGAGCTGAGGTGATATTTAAAACATGGAACGCCCTGGACAGCACAGGTGTGGACCAATCAGAAGGGATACTGGCTGTGGTCCTGGGGTAGAGTCCTGGAGGGTCTATTCATACCAGGCTTAAATTAACTTTTCGGTTGCTACACAGGGGTGAGCAGGGGGTCACAGGGCAAAGGCCTGGGTTGGGGGCAGCTCAGTGAGCTATACTCTAAATCCTGATAAGAATTCTAGGAGGTAGGTGCAACTCTTCAGGATGAGTGTTTGTAGTACTTGTTGCTACTATTATTTGCCTCTTCTAGAACACGGGTCCGCAACCCCCAGGCCATGAACCAGTGTGGGAACCAGGCAGCATGCAGGAAGTGATTGGCAGATGAGCAAGCAAAGCTTCATCTGTATAACAGCTGCTCCCCATCCTTCGCACTGCGCCTGGGCTCTGCCTCTGGTCAGAGCAGAAGCAGCATCAGATTCTCAGAGGAGCACAAAACCTATTGTGAACTGCAGATGTGAGGGATCTAAGTTGCATGCTCCTTATGAGAATCTAATGCCTGATGATCTGTCACTGTCTCCCCACAACACCCGTCCATGGAAACATTGTCTTCCATGAAACTGATTCCTGGTGCCAAAAAGGTTGTGGATTGCTGTTCTAGAAAATATCATGAGAGTTTACTTACGAAACGTGTTAAATTAAAAGACTATATATTAAATGAAAACATTTGTAGATTTCAGTCATTTAAATTGCTGTTTTCTCCTTAGGCTGTTTGCCCCTCTCTATCTCCCGGTCATGTCAGTACCTTTGTACCTGTTCTTTCACATCAAATGGAATGGCTGAGTTAGATGTCTTTCATTTCAGCCCTCTTGACACCATAACCATGTCCTTTTTTCTGAAGCTACTATTATTTCCAGAAGTTAGTATTTCCTTAGATGATAAAATAGCAATAGTAACTTCAACAATATGGTAAATTTAGAGTTGTCCTCTGGGGCTAGAGATGAATTTTGTTATTGTAACTTTTAACTTTAAGAATACCTGAACATTTTTAGTTAATTTAAACCACCAAAAATTCAATTAACAATGGATATGTTTATAAGTAAGCTATAGACCATGGTGGGCCCTTCCTAGTAACATCTTACTTTACATGTAACAATTCTCTTGAGATGCAGTATTTCATCTACTTATTGTGACAATCTTTCAAAGAAGGCAATATCGTTCAAATTTTGTAAACAAGGAAACAGAGGGTTAGAGAAATCAAACTGCTTGTCTTAAAGTACACAGCTATAAGCAGCATCATCAGAGCCAAAATTCTGTGATTTTTTTTTTTTTTGGCTATAAATCTAATGTTTTTTCTACTACTTTCCACTGCCCTGTTTTTGTTTTCTTATGTTTTAGTGTTGACTACAAATAACAGTTATAGCTAGTTTGGTTTTAAGGGACACAATGTTTGAAAGGCCTTTATCAATTTTTAAAATACTTTGTCTTTCAGAATGTAATAAAAAACTCCCAATTACATAAATGTTGATTCGCTAGGTTCTATAACATTGAATCATAGTCTCGAATGGCAAAAATGAATTAACACAGTTTAATTCCCCCATTTTACATCTCATTTTCATCGAGAAACTTGAAATGTGTAATGTGGTTCAAATTCCTTGATGCATTTAACAGCCCATTGGGTTTTGTGTGTCCAATAACTGCCACCACCCCTCAACCTACAGAAGCAGATACCTTGTGAATTATAAATTTGTGCATAATGGAAGCCAATTGCCACATGTTCATTTGGATTTTAATAATTCAGGGATAATCTGCTACAGGTAGAGTGGGACAGATCCCCCTTACGTGGCAAAATTGGAAAAAAGGTAGACAAACAATTAATAATGAAGGGTTGAAATTAGCATCTACCAATGTCATTAATGCTTTGTCATTCTTACCTGGATTTCCTTTAGGTAAAGGCAAGGATTTATCTATTTTCTTTCTACTAACAGTAAGACATAGTCTCTTTTGCAGTATCTTGTATATCTAAAGAATCTAAAATGTCAGTTAGAACATAAAATGCTTTGGACTGTAGATGTCCTTACTTGGTGTTTGTGCTGGGCTAAATAATACACCTCCAAGGATGTCCACGTTCTAATCCCAGGAACTTGTGAACCTTACCTTATGTGTCAAAAGGGACCTTGCTGATATCTCACTATGGGAAGATGACCTGATTGTCCTGGTGGGCTCTAAGCATCATCGCGAGACCCTTGTGAGAGGGAGGCGGAGGCAGAAGTGACCTCAGAAGAGGGTGACGTGGTGGCAGAGAGACAGGCTATGCTGCCGGCTTTGAAGACGGAAAAGGAGACACCTGCCAAGGAGTGCAGCAGCTTCTACGGGTGGGAAAAGGCAGGAAAACAGTTCTCCAGAGCCTCGGAAGGAACCCGTCCTGCTGACACTTTGCCTTCAGCCTTGTGAGACTGATTTTGGATTTCTGACCTCCAGAACATTAAGACAGTAAATTAGCACTGTTTTAAGCAATGGAATTTGTGGCAATTTACTACAGCAGCAATAGGAAACTAACACAAGCAGTGGTAAAGCCCATTCTGGACTTAGCTCTCCTCTCCCCTGATAAGACCTCTATGCTGTGTGCCTCTTAGAGATTTCCCCATGGTGTCTTTGTTTCTGGACATTGCAACCCCATAATTCAGAGAGGTAATCATAGAAAGGCATGTGGATAAGAACCAGGCATTGGTTCTGGGTCTTGATGAAAATCTTTCTCTGTTAAAACAACATCGAGACACTACCATACACCTATCAGAATGATGAAAATCCAGAGCACTGACGCCACCAATTGCTGGCAAAGGTGTGAAGCAACAGGAACTGTCATCCGTTGCTGGTGGGAATGCAGAATGGCACAGCCACTTTGGAAGACAGTTTGGCAGCCTCTTCTGAAGCAAAACATGCTTTTACGATAGGAGCCTGAAATTGCTTTCCTTGGTATTCACCCAAATGAGCTGAAAATACATGTCCACACAAAAATCTGCAAGTACATGCTTATAGCAGCTTTACTGATAATTGCCCAAACTTGGAAGCAACAAAGATGTCCAGTAGGTGAATGCGTCAATAAATTGTGGTACATCCAGACAATGGAATATTTTTAAAGTGCTAAAAAAAAAATGAGCCATCAAACCATGAGAAGACACAGAAGAACCTTAAATGCATATTACTAAGTAAATAAAAGAATCCAATCTGAAAAGGGTACATACTGTACAACTGAACTCTATGACACTCTGGAAAAGACACAGCTTGGGGACAATGAAAAGATAATGGTTGCCAGGGTTTTTGGGGAGGGAGGGAGGAATAAGCAGAAAACAGGATTTTTAGGACGGTGGAACTATTTCGTAGGATGGTACAGTGGTGCACACGTTGTTATATATTTGTCAAAACCCGTAGAATGTGCAACACTGAGAGCAAACCCTAATGGAACGTGGACTCTGGGTGATGGTGATATGACATTGCAGGTGCATCAGTTGTAACAAATGTCCCACTCGAATAATGGATGTTGAGAGTGGGGTGGCTGTGTGTGCGGGGGTGGGTGGGGGCTTGTGGGAAATCTCTGTATGTTCTGATCAATTTTGCTGTAAGCTTAAAACTTCTCTTTAAAGAAGAGTGTATTTACCAGTAAACATTTACATATATATATATATGAGATATACATATATCTATATATATTTAACTTAGAGCCTCTGGCAGGGGACAGCAACCAAGGATCCATGTGTCTGGTTGGCTCTAGGGAAGCCTGACCTTCACAGTTAGACTTGGGGGTTCCCCTGGGAATACACAGTGGGCAGCCACCTTTCCAAAGGATGGGATGACCAGGCCGGATTTTGGTACCTCTTCTCTCCCCGTCACCCTGCTTCACAGGATGAGGGAATGGACAGATGAACAGATAAACCAAGAAGAGACACCACATTCTCTGGCAGAGGAGCTCTACAAAGTGCAGTAAATTCCTGGGATCATATGAGTGATGAAGCCCAGAAATTGCCCAGGGAAGGAAGTTAGCAAACTTAAGAGTAAGTCCTTTGGCCCAATTTTAACGGACAAGGTAAAAAGAATAGTTGGTGTAACATCTGAAGTTTGGAAACACATGCTTTGTTTACCCCCCGCCGCATCCTCAGGCCTTTCAAAATGAGAGGATGCCCACTGTGAGCCAGCCGCTCTCTTGGCAAGCCGGCTGGCCACAAAGAGGCTCAGTCATAATCGGGTGGAAACATACACTCTCCCCTTTTTATTGGCGGCTTGAGGCTTGGTGATTGGCCTATAAATCTAAACTGCAAGCGCAGAGCCTGTGTTTGGGGTCGTGATCCGTTTGCCACAGGCACACTGGT